>NC_000012.12:99581340-99884370 GCF_000001405.40 Homo sapiens
ATTTGGATATCCAAATACAAAGGAAATGAACCTCAAACCTTACACCATATATAAAAAAGTAACTTAAAATGTAAAATAGACTTAAATGTAGGCCCTAAACTAAAATTTCTAAAGAAAAATATAGGGTAAAATCTTTGTAACTTTGGCTTGGGTACAGATGTCTCTGAATACTTAAAGCACAAATCATAAAATAAAAGACTGATAATTTGAAAATCACCAAAATAAAACATCATTTCTTCAAAACACACTGTTAAGAAAATGAAAAGTCGGCCGGGCGCGGTGGCTCACGCCTGTAATCCCAGCACTTTGGGAGGCCGAGGCGGGTGGATCATGAGGTCAGGAGATCGAGACCATCCTGGCTAACAAGGTGAAACCCCGTCTCTACTAAAAATACAAAAAAATTAGCCGGGCGCGGTGGCGGGCGCCTGTAGTCCCAGCTACTCGGGAGGCTGAGGCAGGAGAATGGCGTCAACCCGGGAAGCGGAGCTTGCAGTGAGCCGAGATTGCGCCACTGCAGTCCGCAGTCCAGCCTGGGCGACAGAGCGAGACTCCGTCTCAAAAAAAAAAAAAAAAAAGAAAAAAGAAAATGAAAAGTCAAGCCATAAACTTGGATTAAACATACATCTGATAAAACACTTGTATCAAAACACATAAAGAATTCTTACAACTCAATAATAAGACTAACTGGTTTTTGTTTAATCATTGAAAGATATAAAGATACTTTATAAAAGAATATATATGAATGGCAAATAATAAGCACAAAAAAGATGCTTAACATCATTGATCATTAGGGAAATGCAAATAACATACCAGAACATACTCTTTAGAATGGCCAATAATAAGAATATGAACAATACCAAGTGATGGAAATTATTGAATCAACCAGAACTCTCAGACATTCCTGATGGGAATGCAAAATGGCTTAGCCATTTTGGAAAACAATTCAGCAGTTTCTTTTAAACATATATTTACCATAAGACTATGTAATCCCACATCTAGGTATTTTTTAAAAAAAAAAGACAGAGATGAAAACATTTGTCCACACAAAGACTTGTACTTGAATGTTCAAAGCAACTTTTTTCATAATAGCCAAAAAACAATCAAATGTTCATCGACTGATCAATCTAAAAACAAACTGTTCAATATCCATAAAAAATAATGCTACTCAGCAATGAAAGGGACAGACAACTAATATGTGGATGAACCTGAAAACATTATGCTATGTGAATGAATTCAGGACACAAAAGAATGCATAGTATCTGGTTCTATTAGTATGTAAATGAAGACAACGCAATACTATGTGATCTGTGAAAGCAAACAGATCAAAGATTGCTTAAGTCAAGATAATGAGGGGATTGATTGCAAAGGTAAATAAGGGAATGTTTTTAAGATGACAGGAATGCTCTAAATCTTAAGGCAAATCTTTGACAGTTATCAAACCTCATCAAATTGTATAACTACAATTCATGAATTTCATTGTATGTAAATGACATGTCAATAAAAAAAATCAAAAGTATCAGACACCAAAATAAATATTCAAAATTTATTTTTGGAAAAGTGTTGATGGCTATATTTTACAAAATATTTCACCCTCTATTTTCCTGAAATACCTGTCCCCCTTTGGTGTACTTATATTATTTGATTTACATGAAGCTTTGTAGGAACACCTCTAAATCTAGATATGAGAAATGCTTATTGTACCACTATCTAAAATTGTGTTTTGTCACAAACCAAGTGCTTTAAGATCTAAAGATGGTGAAGGATACAACACATACAGTCTACCCTGGAAGACTATGTCATTGGTTTTTTTGTTGCACATACAGTACACTCTATTGCTTTGGGATCACCAAAATTAATCACTTCAACTAAAGGTACATGTTGGTTTTTCTCCATTCCAAGAGAGTAACAACACAACTGATTATTCTTAGTGTGTGAGCTGAGTAATGAAAAACCTACAGAAACATGAATATAAATGGAAGTATATAAACTGTCATTTCTTAAAAGTAGGTCTTCAGGATAGAATGGGGAAGGAAGAATTACAATAATTAATTGTAAACATTTAAGATTCTCAGTGTGCTAGGTACTGTGCATAATGCAGTGGCTATAAATTAATGAATGGTACTGATTTGAACCACATTATACCTATTTTTCTTTATATTTCCAACAAATGACTAACACTATTTTATGATCAGTTCTTTTTCCACTGGAATTACTCCATTAATAAATGACTTTTTAGATCAAATGGCTGTGAAGTAAGTTAAAAAATATGAAAATCATATATAAGCAAAGATAAATTCAGGGTGCTTCTTTTTTTTCAATTAATGCCAAATTATTTTTCAGGATATGCAGCATTTTATAAAATTCCTAGGCAAGTTAAAGCACAGATCAACAAATATTTATGAAACTCCCATATTCTACAACACTATATTCCATATGGTAGGATAAGCAACAGAAACAGTGTGGGATCCAAAGGACTTTAATTTTAATTGAGGAACTAAAACACAGGTACATAGATTCGCATATATGTTATTAATGCCATTTCTTCACAGCAATACTGGCACATGCCTGCTCCCTTAAATTACTTTGCCTATTCAAAATTACCTGTCAATGTTAGAGTTGGCCTCTTGAGGCCCATTTTTCTGAAAAAATGAAGTGTATCATTCTGCTCTTAAACAGAGACTCTAGAGCCCCTTTTTCCTTTTTCACAACAGGGTTCATTTTAGAAAATGTGTAGCTGCCAGATATGACAATGTAAAAAGGTAGGCAGAGAAGGAGATAAACACAGAAAGAACAGAAAGGTGAATTAGGCATTTAACAATTTATTCAGAAAAATGTGCCAGCACCTCAATTTTATAAAGTCATGGGCAAAAGCTTATGAAAATTGATTTAGCAAAACAAAGCCCAGGGAAATACAATAATGCATTTCCAACTTCACATGGCTTTTATGTGAAATTCTTCTATATTAAAACATACTATAGGCCAGGCACCATGGCTCACATCTGTAATTCCAGGACTTTGTGAAGCCGAGGAGGGAGGACTGCTTGAGCCCAGGAGTTTGAGATGAGCCTGGTCAACATGGTGAAACTCCGTCTCAATGAAAAATACAAAAATTAGTGGGTGTGATGCTGCATGCCTGTAGTCCCAACTACTGGGAGGCTGAGTTAAAGGATTGTTTGAGCCCAGGAGACCGAGGCTGCAGCGAGCTGTGACTGCATCACTGTACTCCAGCCTGGGTGACACAGCAAGATCCTGTTTTGAGAGAGAAATATATATATATATCTGTTCTCACGCTGCTAATTAAGATATACCCATTTATAAAGGAAAGAGGTCTAATTGACTCACAGTTCCACAGGGGTGTGGAGGTCTCACAATCATGGCAGAAGGTGAATGAGGAGCAAAGTCACATCTTATGTGGCAGCAGGCAACAGAACATGAGCAGGGGAACTGCCCTTTATAAAACCAACAGATCGCGTGAGACTTATTCACTATCATGAGAATGGCACAGGAAAAACCTGCTCCCATGATTCAATTACCTTCCACTGGGTCCCTCCCATGACACATGGGGATTATGGGAGCTACAATTCAAGATGAGATTTGGGTGAGGACTCAGCCAAACTACATCATCCAAACTATATCATCCCCCCGGCCCCTCCCAAATCTCATGTTCTCGCATTTCAAAACACAGTCATGCCTTTCCAACAGTGCCTCAATATCTTAACTCATTCCAGCATTAACTCAAAAGTCCACAGTCCAAAGTCTCATCTGAGAAAAGGCAAGTCCTTTCTGCCTATAATCCTGTAAAATCAAAAGTAAGTTAGTTACTTCCTAGATACAATGGAGGTCCAGGCATTGGGTAAATACACCCATTCCAAATGGGAGAAATTGGCCAAAATGAAGGGACTACGGGCCCCAGGCAAGTCCAAAATCCAGCAGGGCAGTAAAATTTTAAAGCTCCAAAATGATCTCCTTTGACGCCATGTCTCACATCCAGGGTACACTGATGTAAGAGGCAGGCTCCCATGGCCTTGGACAGCTCCGCCCCTGTGGTTTTGCAGGGTACAGCCCCCCTCCCGGCTACTTTCACAGGCCAGCATTGAGTATCTGTGACTTTTCCAGGCACACAGTGCAACCTGTCAGTGGCTCTACCTTCTGGGGTCTGGAGAACGGTGGCCCTCTTCTTACAGCTCCACTAGGCAGTGCCCCAGTGCGGACTCTGTGTGGGAGCTCCAACCCCACATTTCCCCTCCACACTGCCCTAGCAGAGGTTCTCTTTGAGAGCCTTGTGCCTGCAGCAAACTTCTGCCTGGACATCCAGAAGTTTCCATACATCCTCCAAAATCTATGTGAAAGTTCCCAAACCTCAATTCTTGTCTTGTGTACACTGACAGGACCAACACCACGTGGAAGTTGCCAATGCTTGGGGCTTGCATCCTCTGAAGCCATGGCCCAGGCTGTACCTTGGCTCCTTTTAGCCATGGCTGGAGCAGAAATGCAGGGCACCAAGTCCCTAGGCTGCACAGAGCAGGGAGGCCCTGGGCCCAGCTCATGAAATCATTTTTTCCTCCTGTCTCTGGGCCTGGATGAGGGGGGCTGCCACAGAGGTCTCTGACATGCCCTGGAGACATTTTCCCCATTGTCTTGATGATTAACATTTGACTTCTCATTATTTACCCAAATTTCTGCAGCTGGCTTCAATTTCTCCTCAGAAAATGAATTTTTCCCTTCTATTGCATCATCAGGCTGCAAATTTTCTGAACTTTTATGGTCTGCTCCCCTTTTAAACTAAGTTGCAATTCCAAACCATGTCTCTGTGAATATATAAAACTGAATGCTTTTATCAGCATCCAAGTCACCTCTTGAACAGTTTGCTGCTTAGAAATTTCTTCCACCAGATACCCTAAATCATCTCTCTCAAGTTCCAAGCTCCACAGATCTCTAGGGCAGGGGCAAAATGCCACCAGTCTCCTTGCATAGCAAGAGTGACCTTTACTCCAGTTCCCAACAAGTTCTTCATCTCCATCTGAGACCACCTCAGCCTGGACCTTATTGTCCATATCATTATCAGCATTTTGGTCAGAGCCATTCAACAAGTCTCTAGAAAGTTCCAAGCTTTCCCACATCTTCCTGTCCTCTGAGCCCTCCCAGTCTCTAGGAAGTTCCAAACTTTCCCACATTTTCCTGTCTTCTTCTGAGCCCTCCAAACTGTTCCAACCTCTGCCTGTAAGTTACTTCCACATTTTTGAGTATCTTTACGGCAGCATCTCACTCTACTGGTACCAATTTACTGTATTAGTCTGTTCTCATGCTGCTAATAAAGGCATACTCGAGGCTGGGTAACTTACAAAGGAAAGAGGTTTAACTGACTCACAGTTCCACATGGCTGGGGAGGCCTCACAATTATGGCGGAAGGTGAATGAGGGGCAAAGTCATGTCTTACGTGGTTGCAGGCAAAGAGTATGTGCGGGGGAACTCCCCTTTATAAAACCATCAGATCTCCTGAGACTTATTAACTATCATGAGAACTGCTCAGGAAAAACCTGCCCCCATGATTCAATAACCTCCCATTGGGTACCTTCCACAACATGTAAGAATTATAAGAGCTACAATTCAAGATGAGATTTGGGTGGGGACAGAACCAAACCATACACAAAACATATATATATATATTTGCTACTAAGAGGATTTTGATTGATTGTACTCTATTATTGGTAATAATTAGACAAAGTGGGAGCTAGGAACAGGAAAACAAAAAGAAGATAAAGCAAATGGCAGAGCAGGGTAAAGAAGCTTTTTCATCAATATTAGATCTTACTACTTTTTGTCTAATAAGAAGAAAGGTTCCTGCCACATACATGAAGTATGCTTCCAACATATCTTAACATCATTTCACTAGGATTACCCTGACACTGAGGTGGTGGAAGAGTGGAAGTCAGTAATCACAGGTCCTAACATTGAAATTTGACACAGGACCTTATGAAAAAGCCCTCTTGGTATGAATATAAGCTGCAAAAAAGTAAAATAGATGTATAGCAATGAAACTGAGGAAAATAGAAAGCCTAAGAAGTTTCTAATGATCAAGTGATTGCCAAGGAATGATTTTACAATGCTCATTATTGTTCACTAAGATGTGTAATATGTCATCTCTAACCTCTGTATAGAATGTTCAGTTTTAATTGCTCTATCTTAGCGAATCAAACTTCTATATTTGATAAGGTCTTTTCTAAATTTACTTGTGACTTCAGTAAAGAGAAAATGGGTCCTAAATTAGGGTAGTAGCAATGAAAATAGCAGATCACATAAAATGCTGTGTTCTCACTTCATAAGGGTAGATGGTACTGCCTCAATACAATTTAGGGGCGAATATAAAAAGTTTCACATTTGTACATGTTGCCATATGACACACTTTCAGTGGATTCAGACCAAGATTTTTATACCATAAGTAGTTTTACATGGGATCTTTAGCACAAAAAAAATGACCTAGGTAAAAAATAGTTAAATCCATGAGATAGAATTGGGGTGAATATCAACATGGAGGGATTGAAAGGATAAGGAGGAGTATCCAATAGAGCAGTTAAGAGAAGAAACACAAGAAAAAAGTGTTACAGAAGACAAAGGAGAAACAGGGGTGGTTAGAATTGTTCTTCAGCCTAGATGTACGAGTTACATTGAGTCAGATATTATGACATATTACATAGCCTTTCTATAGTGGAGAAAGTCTTGTAATATTAAAGGGAAATATAATGAAACAGTGCAAAGTTAATACAGAAGAACAAATATCTGAAGGTTTTAGCTCTGGAAACAGAAAAAAAAAACAGTAAAATGCTACACCACTGGTTCAAGACAAATTACAGTGCACATAAAAATGCTTTGAGCTAAACACTCTTAGAATTAATAAACTGTCTGGTTATTCAATATAAATTCACTTGATTTATACCAAAGATTCATCTGCATTCTACAGAGGGAAAAAATCCATTTTCTCTTCTCTTTCTAAAGGATTTCTGGACTCTGAAAGAAAGTCTATGATGATTAATAAAAGTCTGTTAGAAATTTGTGTTCAGAGAAAAAATGTAATCTTTTTTTTTTGTCTTTTTTTTGAGACAGAGTCTCGCTCTGTCACCCAGGCTGGAGTGCAGTGGTGCCATCTCGGCTCACTGCAACTTCCACCTCCCGGGTTCATGCTATTCTCCTGCCTCAGCCTCCTGAGTATCTGGGACTACAGGCACCCGCCACTACGCCCGGCTAATTGAAAAAATGTAATATTTTGTACATAAAGATGATATTACTTCCAGGCCAACTATCAGCCAAAATGGTTTTGAATTTTTTTTTATTCTATGGAAGGTACAATTTATACTGAATTTTCTAGAACTTTCCTATGTGAAGCATATCATACACTAATTAAATGGTTAGCTGGAGATAGGGACATGGTGTATGGCCTGCTCCAGGCTTTCTCCACTTTCATCTTATCTTAAGTTTAGTGCCATGATAACTGCCACATCCAAAAATAATTTAACAGAGATCATATTTTAGAAATATTAAACTGATATATTTTTCCATTTCCCCTAAATTATAGTGACTTGCATTTCCCTACCTATTTTATTAAATAACCTATCAGATAAAATTAAGACAATCTCTGGACAGTGAGGCTTGTTACTCATTTTCCCTGGCACACACTACAAACACTTCAAACTCTCCTCAAAGTAGTGCTGTGTCTACCACTTTATGGTACTGCCCAGGCAGTGGGATCGAAATGGTTTAGAGAGTCATCTGAGTAGAGAAGACCTGAAATGGTCTCTCTCAAATCTCCCACAGTCATAGAGATGGGGTGAAGAACCAGAAATGTATATGGATTTCCAAGGCCTTTTCAAAGGTGAATGGAACATGGTTGAAAATTAACAGTGAGCTCAAGTGCTTAAGGTCACCACGTTACTACTTTGAGTCAAGATATGTTTGACTGTAGAGACAGGTTTATCTCTCTTTTCCTCAGAAGCCTATAATAATTTCCAACTACCTATTTTTATAAACTAAAATTATTTCATCTGAAGTTCCCCTTCCCCAGGATTTTCAATCCCTTGATTCCACAACATACACATGTACTTCTGATCTCCTTAATCGTCTCTACTTCTCATTTAGGTTCCCTTGCTCCTGCCAGGCTCCTTTCCATTAGGTCATCTATATTGCCAGTTTCAAAACCTGGTAAAATTACCTAAATTATGTCTTAATGAAGTATAACTTAACTTTCTGGAAAACAACTTGGCAATCTATACAAAAGCCTTAAAAAAGATACTAACCTCTGTCCAATGATTCCATTTTTCTGAGCAAATATAATAAAAGATACAGAGCTTAATGCATAAAGATATCCATCAGAACATAATTCAGAAGAGGAAACTAATGGAAACCACCTAAATGAATGTATGGTACAATAGGGCGACTATAGTTAACAATAATTTATAGCATATTTCAAGATAATAAAAAGAGTGAAATTAGAATGCTCCTAACACAAAAAAATGATAAATGCTTGAGGTGATAGACACCCCAATTACCCTGATTTGACTATGACACACTATATCTTTGTATTAAAATATCACTTGTACCCCATAAATATGTGCAACTATTATGTATCCACATAACTAAAAATAAAAACATTTTTTAAAAAAGAATCTCAGTAGGGTGGTTAGTCAACATGGTACATTTCTATAATCAAATATTATGTAATCATTAAAACAGTTACATAGGAATATACTAAAAATATAATGCTGAAAAAAGTACAGTATGTATTTATTTTAAAAATTCCAATTTTGAGCACATATAAACATATATAGATATGTGAATTAATATGAAAAAATTCACAAAAATGTTAACTCATGTGTTTATTTTCAGTGCTCATTCATTTAAAACATTCACTCACACCCACACCCACCCACACACACACACACACACACACACACACACACGCTTATTTACCATCTAACTTCTCTAAACAAAAAAGGCATAGTCCTTACTCTATGGAGTTGCCGGTCTAATGGGGAAGGTACATTTAACAAGTAATTACAACAGATTATAGTAACACATTCCCTTTTTCTTAATTATCTGTCTCTATTATAACTGCCAACTCCATGATGGTAGAGATCCTATTTCTCATGTCTGTCCCTTGCATCCACAGCATCTACCACAGCGTACAGGATCATAAATATTTCATGAATGTAGAGGAGGCCCAGAGACTAAATGGGAGCATATTAGCAGGAGGGCCTAAAATAACTCAGGAGGTTTGAAAACTTTTTTGAGGGCAAGTGCCATTTAAAATAAACTCTAAAGAAAGAGGAAGAACTAGCCAGGTGAAGGAGGTTGAAAACACTGCTCAAGGTAGAAAATGGCTACAGGTAAAAGAAGTGGTGTTCACTGAATTCATAGACTCAAACAGTGGTTATTTCCGAATAAGGGTTTGTAGGCAATTTCTTTTTCAAATTTACTTCAGTGAAGGCGTATTTTTGTGTCCATCAGAGAAACAATAGTCTAAACTAAACAGATTTTAAAATCTCTGACTTCTCAGAGATCACCCTGATTTTACATGTTTATTTTCTTACTTTGAACTGTCTCTATACATACAATATGGAACAAATTATTGCAAATTCAGTGTCCTACTTTAGAACTATCTTATACTTCCTCCTATATTTTAAGTTCTTTCGGGTAAAGAATATTTTTTTTTTCCTTTCCTTTATTTGGTATCTTCCATAGCACTGGTATTGTGCTGTGTACCCAGTATGCTGTATTTTAAAGTTAAATAATTATAGTCGAGAATACTGATCTTATTATCTGGTGGCTAGTTTTTGTTCCAATGACTTTACAGAGTTAGTCCCAGAGAAACCAATGAGAATTATGAAATTTTCTTTTATATAACTTTAAAAAATTTATCTCGTTCGATAAAAATACTTCATACCGAATTAGAATAAAAATTAATATTATTTATTATCCTAAAATCTCAGAGACAGATGTTTTTATTTTTTTCCAGGATAAAGAGCAAAGAAAAATATTCTGATGGTCAAAGTAACCATGACTACGGTTTTCAGACTTATAACAAGTGTTATTTTCATACACTCTATATTGGTAAAAATAATATATTCTTATAAAATATATTTGTGGTGAAGCTTACTTTTATACTGCAACAAAATTCTTAAAATTATTCATTAATTCTACCATCAGTAGCTTCTAGGGTAACTATTTTTCCAGTAAATACCATAGTGTGGACTCTTGAGAGACCAGAAGCGGTCCCTGCCCCCGAAAATATGTAAAATTGCCACTCTGGTTACTACTAAGACCATAAATCCATTTTACCATTGTTACCTCGATTCTCAAGGGTAAGGAATAATTCTCAGCTTCCCCATTCCAGGCCCATATCTAAAGGGTAGCACAAGTTTGATAGGGGCTCTCTTCGAGAAAGAGGAACAGTGTGGCATTAGCTATGTTACTAGAAAGACCCAATCCCTAGTCAAAGCCATTGAGTCTTGCCCCTCTACATAAATGGATATAGACCCTCACATCTAGAGCTGCATTCTAGGCTATTAAACAATCTTTTTCAATTGCTGTTGCTGGTATCTAAAATTTCAAATTATCTTTAGACAATGTTTCAGCTTCTATGATAACATTTCAGAAACAGAGCAAATAATGTGTATGGTTTATTTAAACTATACTCAAATGTACTGAAAATTGGTTCACATTTCCAAAGAAACTCTGTGAATAAGTACAGCATGCTATTATACTTTAAGACTGTCATTCTGTTCATACTAATATAATGGTGACTTTATTACTAGAAACAAGATTTTCTCTATCTGGGTAATTTTAGTTCTGTTCATTTTAGCAAAATTGTAATGACTAGAACCATCTTGGTGGTTGATCTAAAGCACACGAAATGCTCTTTATTTTGCCAGCTACAAACATGTTAATATGAAATGCATTCACAGAACGGAAGGACAGTTCCTTTCTAAAGTACTACGGTTTGAAGTGAATAGTCCTATCATGGCAAAGCACAAGTGGAAGGAAACTGACCATTAGGTCACTATTGGATGGTAAGGGTATTTCATTCCACTATCCACCCCACAACTCAAAAGAGGAATCTGACCTAGTGGCTTACTAGAGATTGGAAATGAAAAAAAAAAAAGGTGAAAAGAATTTATTTTTATTTATATACTTGGCCAGAAATTAGAGAGAAGCTTTTATAATACAGATATCAAAGGGTTCTGAAGAAAAAGACATGGAGAAGGACTGAAGAGAAGAGAAAGAAGATGAAGACAATAACGAGAAAAGAAAAAGAATGTTAGACTATGAAAGTTTTTTCAATGAAAAGAGTCAAACTCTGTCAAATATTTGAAGAGATTTATTCTGAGCCAAATACGAGTGAGCAATGGCCCATGACACAGCTCTCAGGAGATCCTGAGAACATGTGCCCAAGGTGCTCAGGGAACAGCCTAGTTTTATACATTTTAGGGAGACAAAAAACACATCAGTCACATACCTGAAAGATATACATTGGTTCAGCCCAAAAAGGTGGGACAACTCAAGGGAAATGGGGGGTGTTCCAAGCTATAGGTTGATTAAGAAATTTTCTGATCAGTAATTGGTTGAAACAGTTATTATCAATAGAAATGAATGTCTAGGTTATGATAAGGGTTTATGGAGACCAAAGTTTTATTATGCAGATGAAGCCTCCAGGTAGCAGGCTTCAGAGAGAACAGATTGTAAGTGTTTCTTATCAGATTTAAAGAGTCTGTTCTATCAGTAGTTCAAAAATAGAGGAGAGTATAATGAGGCACGTCCATCCCTCAACCCCCATCATGGCCAGAACCAGCTTTTCAGGTTAAATTTGGAGTGCCCTGGCCAAGAGGAGAGGTCCATTCAGATGGTTGGGGTTGGGGGGGTCTTATAATTTTATTTTTGGTTTACAGTCCTCATGAAGTACAGTGATATAATAATCAAAGAAAACATTAATTTTGGTAGTCAGAGACCAAATACAGATGACTGCAGTCAGAATCTTGTGATTCTGAATTTTAGTTTCCTATTGAAAAAAGTTTGAAATTCAGAAGCACAATAATATAATTTATAAAGAATACCTAAACTTACTTCATTAAGGAAATGGGTAGGCATCAAGGAATGAACATTCTCTGCAACAAATAATACACTATGGCAAATAATTTAATGTTAAGGTACATAAGAATTCTTCTCATCCGAATACTGGATATCAATAAAAGAAAACATTGATTGATTTCAACAAATGATCCTTAATTAAAACAATCGAAGCGATAAAGAAGGAATTATCAAACATAAATTGCTAAACTAGTAGCAGACAGCTTTTACATTTAGCTTCATTTGTTAAATGAAGTAAAATGCCTATCTTACTTCAAAGAATGTTTTAAAAATTATATCAGTAGGATTAGGTTGTGACAATAGCATTTAAATTCCATGAGAACTTATTATAAGGAAACTGCCTACCCTGACATTTCCTCCATGGTAAAAGAAAAGCATTCTTATTTATAATAAATAAATTTTCTTTAGTCTTTTTCAGTTTACAAAGTGCCTGTATACACATTATCATTTATGCTGACAAGCAGCTGGTGCAGTGGGTGTTTTTTTTTAATCTCCGTCTTGACAGAGAGCAGCAAAGCACACAGTCTTAGATGCTAGAATCCATGATCTATCACTGAATAGTTTGTGACTTCAGGCAAGTTATTTAAACTCTCTAAATCTCATTCTCCCCCTATCTAAAATGGGGGTATTTATCTGCCTCATAGGGTTGTTATAAAGACTAAATTAACCAATAACTGTGAAGTGCTTAAACTGTCAAGTGCTGGAGTTAGCTGTTATTACTACAGATAAAACTGAAGTGGTCCTGAGGATGAGGAGAAATTGGAAACTTCGTGTACTGTTGTAAGAATGCAAATTTATGCAGTCATTATGAAAAACAGTATGAAATTTCCTCAAAAAACTAAAAATAGAACCACCATATAATTTAGCAATCCCACTTTTGAGTATTTATCTAAAGGAAATAAAATCAGGGTCCTGGAGGCACTTGCACAATCATGTTCATCGCAACATTATTCATTAACAGCCAAGATGTAGAAACAACCTAAATGTCTATCAACAGATGAATATTTTCATCAGAAAAGGTGATACACAGACACACACTCATACGGTGGAATATTATTCAGCCTTTAAAAAGAAGTAAATCCTGCAATATGTGACATGGATGAATCTTCAGGACATTATGCTTAGCAAAATACACCAGTCACAGAAGGACAAATACTACATCATTCCACTTAAATGTGAAATCTAAAATGATCAAACTCACAGAGGCATAGAGTAGAATCGTGGTTGGTACGGGCTGGGGAGAGGAAGAAATGGGGAGTTGCTATTCAATGGATATAAAGTTTCAGTTATGCAAGATGAATAAGCTCTAGAAATCTGCAGTACAAATACCATGTTTATAGTCAACAACACTGTACTGTACACAAAATTTGTTAAGAAGGTAAATCTGATGTTAAGTGTTCTTACTATAATAAAAAAAAATTATGGTTCATAGAACTGGCCTAAAACTACAGAGTAAATAATCAGAAGAGTCAGGATTCAAATTCTAATCTTTTACATAAGGTCAAGTGACTTTAAGTAAACCTTAAAATCTAATCCACATTAGTTAAAGCAATATGTTATTCCTGAAAGAGCATAGACTTTGGTGCAGACTTAGGCACAAATAATAGTTTAACTCATCAGTGAAATAGAGACATAAATACCTAACTTGTATAGTCATATAAGAATTAAATGAGAACAGAAACTCCATGAGACCAAAATGTAAGAACTTTATAAATTTAAAATTGATGTCTTGCAATATGTGGCCTCACTGAAAATATTTTAAGAGGTCCCTAAACCTATAATGTTATGGTTACCAGCCACAAAAGACATATGAGTTAGTAAGATCTTACAAGATTGTTTCCTTAATGCAATAGATGCTAATATTTGGACAAGCTTCAATGAGAATTTACTCTCGTGTTATTAGAAAATTGTGTGAAAATAGTATGAATTGTTCCAATTGCCTGTATATTTTATATATTCTTTTTCTAGTAAAAAATGAAAAGTAATAAGATGAATATTTTATTTTAAATGCTGAAATGTACAAAACACATTTTTCAGAAAAGAGGAAATCTTATTAGTATTAGTATGTATCAACTCATTTTAGAAAATATAAAACTAATTATGTCCAACTGAACAAATTAACACCATCATAGTCTAGCTAAGCATTCCAAGGTCGTTCCTTTAATTTTATGATCTCGCACATTAACTCATATTAAAGAAAAGAAGATTCAAGTAAATCTACTTGGGTTAAAACATGCCCCTGTATAATACCTCTTAACACCTTTAAATAAATGATTCAAAACAAAATACATATGCTTTGTGCATAGTACATAGCATACATCTTTTATTGTACTAAAATATGCAACTAATCCTTCAATTCAACCACTACATTATTCCTGGGGAATTTTCTCACCAACTTTTGAAATTACAACCTAAGTTTTTGTAAGTATCCAAAAATCAACACAGTTTGGTTCATTGGCAAATGTTTGTGATATCAATTTAAATAGATGCATGGCATCTGTGAAATATGAGATGCTGGGCTCCACAGCTAGCTATGAAATAATTTTAAAGCCAGAAACTACCTTGCCAAAACAAATTAGTTGGTAGACTCTTCGATCTGAATAACAATGTATATTTTTATTTTCAATAAATAGAAATATATTAAATTTCTAGCACTGCCACAACAAACTACCATAAATTGAGTGGCTTAAAAAAAACAAAAATTTCCTATCTCAGTTTTGGAAGCTAAAAGTATAAATCAAGATGTGAGTAGAACCATGTTCCCTCTAAAGGCTCCAGAGAAGGATCTTTCCTTGCTTCTTTCAATCTTCTCATGGTATCATCAATCCTTGGTGTTCCTTGGCTTGAAGGTGCATTACCCCAATCTCTGCCTATATACTCATATAAACCTTTTTCCTGTGTGTCCTGTGTGTGCCTCTGTGTCCTCTCCTCTTGTTATAAGGATAAAAAATCATATTGGATTTAGAACCCATCCTACTCTAGTATGTCCGCATCTTAACTAATTATACCTGCAAAGCCCCTACTTGCAAATATGGTCATATTTTGAGGTTATGATGAACATGAATTTTGACCTAGTATGGGGGTAGGTTTATGCTTATTTCATGCAATTTTAATCTTTAAAGTATGTTTAAGCTGTAAAATTCTGTGATTCCATAATTGTGAGACCAAAAAATAAACTTTGTCTAGCACAAAAATGCACAAGTTGTTTTCTCAAAATTAGTGATTTTCTCATAATTAAAATGTTTATTACCAAATCAGTTAATCCTATATGTAAACATTACAGTACTTCCTCATGTTTCTGGACTTTACTCATGTAGGTCTTTAATTTCACTACGCTACTTTTACCTCAGGATAGGGCAAAAAAGAGAAGTAAGGAAGCATCTATATTGTTAGGATCAGAGTGCAGGACCGAGGAGACCAGGAGAGGATACTGATGAGCAAAAAATGAATTCATTCCTTTTGAGTAGATTCCTAGGAGTGGAATTGCTGAGTCATATGGTAAATTTATGTTTTACTTTTTAAGAAAACACAAACTATTTTATTGAAATGACTATGCAATTTTATATTTCTACCAACAATGCATAAAATTCTAGTTTCTCCACATCCTAACCAACACTAATATTGTCCATCTTTATTATTACAGTCATTAAAATTACATTATAATTGTAATCTGTATTGCTCTAATGACTAGTGATGTGCCAGGAAGTCTTCTTAGTGGTCGTTATAAAAGGTGAATAATACATAATACTTGCCTTTACAACATTTAATGTCTGAGGGAGAGAGAGAGAGAGAGACAGAGAGAAGCAAAAATTACAACACACTACATTAAATGTACACACACTGTTATACCTTTTACTAAATAGTTTTGTGAAATTTGGACATTTTCCCTTATGAATGAAGAATTTTGTGGAAATTCAACTAAGATTAAACAAAGCCCAACATTATATACAAGCCATCAACCTGTGAAGTATTTCCTCCATGTACTTCTGATCTTTAAAGCAATCATGTAAGACGTTCTCTCAACTAAGTACTTCATTTTCTTTAAAGGACATTTGCAATAGAATAAAGTACAAAGTAATGCTGCATTTAAGTGTCCTCAGGGAAAAGAAATGAACATTATTATTTTAGCAGAATGTCCAAAAGGTGATTTTAATGACAATAGACTTTTCTGATGATGATTTTTACTGATTTTCTCATAGATAAAATGTTTATTATCAAATCAGTTAATCCTATATCAAATGGTTTCTATAATAAAAATACCAAAAATATCAAATGGACTTTCAAAAACATCGAATGGCGCCTATAAAATGGAGATCAAGGCACATGAAAGGATCTCTAGCACTCAGCAATCCTAACACTTCTATTAAATATGGAATAATTCTATACCTCTTGACCTCTATGATTGCAAAGCCATGTAAATGAGCTGTATACATAGTCATTTTCCTTAAACCAAGTGTTAAATTATTTTTTAAGTCTCTCAGATGGCCTACCTCTGAACCCAGTAAAAACTGAAATAGGGGTGAGAAAATGCTGACCTCTTGAATTATATACAAAGTTGAAAATATTCTTAAGGCCCTACCAAGAAGTAGAGAATTACCATCTGAGTCTTGTATCCATCAGAACTCCAGTCTGGAGATGAGAGCTAATACATTGCCACATTAGATAAAACATATAGATAAAAATATGATGTAACATTTTTTTGAAGGATGAATGAACACAGGAATAGGCATTGTGGGAGCTCCAGGTAAGGGAATAGTGACTTAATAGTAGCCAGGCACTGGGTATTACAAGAATTCCTCCTTCCTTCAAAGAGCTCATTGTCCAGTGAAGAGACAGTCATAAATACAATGAAAATACAGTACCGTAAAAGCAGCTAACATTTATTGAACACATTCTATTTGCAAGCTATCATTTTTACTTAGATTATCTCTTTCAATCCTCACAACAAAACTACAAGATAGATACCGTTACTATCCTCATTCTACAGATATGGAAACAGGCTTAGAGACACAACTTGCACAAGGCTACTTGACCCACCTCTAACCGATTCAAGTGGCCCATATTCATAACCACTGAGGCAGCTTTACTGCCACTTATACCACTACTATAAACATACAGATGTTAAAATAAACATAGCAGGCACAATGGGACAGAGGGCCGACTTGCCAGAGAGAGTCAGAAAAAGTTTCACAGAGTGTGCTCTGAAAATTAACAAGAATTTTCCAGACAGAGAAACAGAGGAGAAGCATTCCAGATTGGGGGCAAAAATATATGTGATAAAAAGAAGCATACACGGAAATAACAGAAACAACTGTTGTATTAGTTTCCTATGGCTGCTGTAACAAAATACCATAAACTTGTTACTTAAAACAACAGAAGCTATTGCAGTTCATAGTTTGGGATGCCAGAGTCTGAAATCAATATCGCTGGGCCAAAATCAAGGTGTTGGGTGGGCCACGCTCCCTCCAGAGGCTCTAGGGGAAATTTCATTCCTTGCCTTTTTTCAGCTTCTGGTGACTGCCAGCATCCCCTGGCTTGTAATCATATTGCACAATTTTTAAGTCTAGCATCTTGAAATTTCTCCATGTCTGTAAAGATCTCCCTCTGTCTCCTTCTTATAAGGATACATGTGATTGCACTTAGGGCCCACCTAGATAATCCAGGACAATCTCCCATCTCAAGATCCTTAACTTAATATCTGCAAAGACCCTTTTTCCAAGTAAGGTAACATTTACTGGTACCAAGAATTACATCTGATTTCTTTGGGGGCATTTTTCAGTCTATCACAACAGTGATAGGGGAGTCCATGTTGGTAGAATTGGAAAATACACAAAGGAGTAAAGGTCATGAGAAATGTGGCAGGTGGGAGGGGTAAAATAGAAGAAACTAAAAGAGGCTAGCAGGTCAGCAGGGACCAGATGATGATGACTAGATTGGCTACAGACATGTTTAAATTGTATTCTGTAGGTGACAGGTAAAATTGACATGTTTTGATTTGCAGCATTATATTGTGATATTTGCCTGTTAGAAAAAAATCACTACAGAGTTAATAGTGAAGAGAGATCAGTAGAAGGCAAGAGATTATTGAAACCCTTAATAATTATTCAGGAATAAAAAGAAGAGATGGATAAGATATAAATTTGGCCATTATGGATGAAATATAGAGAAAAGAACAAGGAGAAATTTAGGATAACTCCTAAATTTACAGTTTTGGGCAACTGGGTGGATAGTGGGGATAACTGTGAATAGGAAATACCATAGGAGGTACTAAAGGCAAGGATGAACCTGGCTTTGGACATGCAAATCTAGAGGTGTCTGCATGGCATCCAAATTGAGATTCTGGTAGATAAATTGATATGAAAGTCTGGAGTACAAAAGGATTTAGAACTTAAATGTATACATCTAAATTTGAAAATTTAGAGATCTAGATTTAGGAATCACTGGCCATGAGTATAGTTGAAAGTATCAAATAAGTCAGTGTTAGTAGAAACTGCTTTTATTGCTGGTCCCAGTGAGTTCCAAGGCAGTCTCTTCAGAATTTTTATGCTGCCATGAATGTTTCAATTTGTTCATTGGTGAATTTTAGCCACCTAGACTGTATCTAATTATCTCATTTTCTTTAGACACTGCCTGTACCATTTTGGAAAATTATCTTATTAAAGTCAGCTCAGAAAAAAAAATAGAGCATTTAGTGTTCTATTTACATGTGATTATACATACTCAGGGTCCTGGTGCTAGGGACCTCATAAATGCTGAAAAGAACTGTTAATCTTAAAAGGCTTTGGGAAAAAATTATTACTAATATTAACCCTCTAGGGAACTAATGATGAAAAATTACCCTACCCCAGTGGTCCTTAAAACTTTTTCATCCCGTGACTACTCAAGCTCTACATCATTTCTTCTACAATACCACATCACATAACTGCAGGACTTTTATGCCGCTGCGAAGGGAAGAAAGAGATTATCATCTTCATGAGACCACAGGGTACACTAAATAAATGTTGAAAACAGAGCACCAGGCAGTGACTGAGAAAAGCTACAGGAAGACTGCAGAGCCTGAGGCTTTGACAAGCAGGTGCTTCCGTGGTCATCAAATCACTATTCATAGACATGTCGTTCCAGGCCAGAGAATCCAGCTCTGAGAAACAATGCCTCAGCCATTAGCTCCCAAAAGACATCAATCACGCCTGCCAAGACACACAGTTAGCTCAGGAGGGATTTCAAAACTTAACTGGGTCAAAAATTGCTTCTAAGCAGGTTTTCTTAATCTAATCTAAACTGCAACTTGAGAAAATAGAAGGAATTCTACCTCCTTCTAAACTGTGGTTCCTACCTACATCTCCAACACTATTTTTATCTCTTTTGTTTTCCAAGTACAAAATGTTTTGATCCAATGTAAATGAGCTATGTATTGCTTTCTATAAGACCTACAAATTCCTTCCTACCTTCTCACATCACTTATTCTACCCAGAAAGTCTTCCCTTTCCTCCTTCTACTTTCAAAATACAAATTTCATAGAAATTTGCTGGGACCATGCCAGATAGTAGTCATAATGCATCTTCAATATTTCTGCCATAATTGTAAAATTTGGAACTCAGTAAATGCTGTCTTGCATATATTTGCTTTCTGTATATGTTATATGCCTCTAACAAGATTTTAAGTTCTGTGGATGGAGTCAGCATTTAATATCTTACTGGGATACCGGTGTCCAGTAGGTCTCAATAGATGAGGATGACAAAGACTCCAAAATATACATCTGCCTTTTATTTCTGCCTACGAAGATTTTAACAAATTTTTAACCTGTGTAAATTTTTCTAACTAAAATTTTCACCTCTTTCTTACCAATATAGTTTTGTTTTCATATATGAGATTTCCTTACTATCTTTGCTTTAATAACTATTTTATCTCAAATTTTAACATTGCCTGGAAAAAAACAGATGACATTGTAGCTTTAGATTAATTTTCAAAGTATCTGATTATTTTAATGTATCAAGAGAAAGCAGGAAGAGTAAGAGATTGCCTTTTGTGCTATTTTGCATATATAATTGGCTTTACACAAAAAATAATGCATCCTGTAAGGACAGAAAAGGTGTAAAATCTTTCTTCACTCATCATAAGGATCACGGTCAACACTCTTA
This sequence comes from Homo sapiens, assembly GCF_000001405.40. Classification (NCBI taxonomy): domain Eukaryota; kingdom Metazoa; phylum Chordata; class Mammalia; order Primates; family Hominidae; genus Homo; species Homo sapiens. The sequence goes on from NC_000012.12 coordinate 99,601,614, forward strand.
TAATAAAAGACAAGATAACAAGAGAAAAGCATAACAGGTTTATTTAATCAAAGTTTTGCATGACACAATACCCTTCAGAAATGAAGATTCAGAGACCCAAGGGACAACTGTCAATTTTTATACTTAGATTCGATGAAGAATGGACAGTTGTGTAGAAATGAGATTGGACAGAAAGGGTATGACCTAATGGTAGACTGAGTGAGGAAACCTAGTAAGACCTCCTGTTCTTATTCTTCTTGAACTCTCTGTATAGCAGTTCTTGGTCCTAGGTATAGGTCCGGACCCCTTCTGAAATGAGTCTTGTGACCTACTATAAGACAAGGTAGACCAGAGTATTTCTTTGTGGCCAGCTCTTATACAAAAAGCTGGGAGAAAGTTAGGGTAATATTTCTAGGTTTTATGTCTGGCTTTAGGGGAGAGGGTTTCTAGTTTCTATGGCCTGCCTTGGGAGAGAAAGGGGAGCAGGCATAAAAAGGGCAGGAGAAGGTCAGAAAGATCTTGCTTCTGTGACCTTTTTCTTTAGTTCAACTTATTCAGCATGCTAAAGTGCCATACTTTGTGGTACCATTTTCTGAGCCCAACATTCCCCCATCTGAAACTTCCCCAGAAAGTTTAACAGTAAAAAAATTGGGTTGTTGGATTGTCTCATAAGCCATCAAATCAGTCTTTCAGTCCTGAAAATATGTCTGTCCAATTAGACAAATAATGGTTGTGTCTAATTTGAGGAGGTGGTATTGCAGGTAGGCCTCCACCAAACTTAGTCCTCCATATGGTGTGAGTAATCAGATATTTAACAATAGTCATTTCTATAAAAACAAAAGAAAACAAAAGGTAATGTTTGAAGTAATCCATAAACTCATTCCTGAGTCCAGAGGGTATCCAATTGAGACAATTTCTAGATTTGGCCTCAAAGTATCTTCAGGTGAAGACAGTGCAGGCAGTGGCAATCTAACAGCTTTTTCTTGCTTTTAGTTTTCAAGTGAGCTTTCTGAGTAATCTATACAGCAACAGGCATGAAGGTTGTTCATACAAAAGCTGCTGTGGTGATTTCCCTGAAGTCTACATCAAGTCATCAAGCTTTGGCTAATTTTAGGGCTTCAGGAAAAGAACAGTTTTAATTTCAATGATATCAAGCCAGAAGGGTGGGAGAAAAATTAAAAATATTATTTTGGAGAGTTGTGGCCAGATATTAGAGGAAACTAGAAGAATTTCAGAATACAGCCCAGATTTCAGGTAGATATGGACCCTCAAAAACAATTAGTTAGAATCTAATAACAAGTGCACTATAGTTTTCATCTGACACATAATTTTTCTCTCTATACGCACTTTCATTTCTAGTAAAGATACTCAAAGTAGACTGATTTGTTTGCAAAATAAGTTTAGTCTCCTTAAACTTCTCCTGATTATTTACATAAATCCAGCAAAAATATTTATTGACCATTTTCTTTGAGATGAGTCTTGCTCTGTCGCCAGGCTGGAGTGCAGTGGTGTGATCTCAGCTTACTGCAACCTCCACCTCCTGGGTTCAAGCGATTCCCCTGCCTCAGTCTCCTAAGTAGCTGGGATTACAGGCATGTGCATATTGGCTCTTTTTAAGTTTGTTTTGCTGAAATTTTCAATTAGGAATCTCAGATTAGACTTTTAAAAGCTTCTTGAGGCTAGGAATCCAAGCCAAGGACTCACTGTCAAATTTCCCATAGTATCTATATAGTTTGGTGAATTCCTCTCTGCTCAAGGGGTCCAAAATATCCTGAGGTTTCAGGGCTGTCAGAAAGTGACATTCTTTAGCCATCTATAAGGCAACCATGTGAACTTTGTTCAAGAAACCATGCCAGTTATTGCAAAGCGGGCTTTATTGGCTCCATAATGTCAACCTTAGTTCCTCGATGTTGTCTGAAAATATGACATTCCAGTCAAAGCCTTGATAACATAGCCAGTGTTTCCAATTGTGTCATGTTACAAGGAGAACAAATTCTTACTGAAGTTACACAAATAATAATATTGCCATAAAATAAGAATCCTTACAAATAGTTTCTGAATTCTGGAGGGATACAGTAGAAAAAAAAAGTAAATGTTTTAATTCTGTTTACAAAGTTATACTTTACCAAATTGTTATAAGCTATAGATGCCTTCAGAGAAAAAAAATCTTTAAATATAGAAAATAAACATTTAAAATAAGAACCAGAAAACTTTCAAATAAAAAGTCATGAAAACATTTCCTCATCAGTTGATTCAGTCCTGTGTAATTAATTCTTATTATGTTTGATCTTGGTTAGCAGTCTCATTAAGTCATCTGTTTATTCATTAGAGTTGTGGAAATTCTTACCTAGTCCAATGATATGATCCCAAAGTTATCAGAAACCTGTACTTGTCAGAGTTATTTCCATCCTTTCCCTGAACTTTCTTGAAGACACAACACTTTACAATTCTAGTTGCTTGCAAAAACTTTTCAGAAAGATCATCAGAATAAAGCAATTAACTATAGACAAGACTTAAAATGATCATGGTTAGAAATCTGTTAAGAGTTCATTATAACCAGCAAATGACAAGGAAATTTGGTGATTTCTGTGGCATACAACATTTTAACATAATAACCAAAAATTGTGAATAATAGCATATCAGACTTCTAGGAATCTCATAATTTTTAAACACTCATATGAATAACATCCATAGATATAACTTACAGGTTTAGCATCCCTTATTACTTGACAATGCTTCCCATATAATTTAGCATATCAAATAAGCCAACTGGCTTATTTGAGGCCAACTGGAAAATCTCAAAGTTAATTTGGGTCAAAAAGACTTAATTTAGAATTTAATTTTGAGAACTTTGTCAAAAATGTCAAAAGCTTTAAAACACTTGGTTAAATATTATCTTGGATATTTATTAATCAAAATGACAATAAAAAATGTTTAAGAGGCTGGGTGGAGTGCCTAACGCCTGTAATGCCAGCACTTTGGGAGGCCAAGGCAGGTAGATCACCTGAGGTCAGGGGTTTGAAGCCAGCCTGACCAACATGGTGAAACCCTGTCTCTACTAAAAATACAAAAATTAGCTGGGCATGGTGGCAGGCATCTGTAATCCCAGCTACTTGGGAGACTGAAGCAGGAGAATTGTTTGAACCCGGGAGGTGGAGGTTGCAGTGAGCTGAGATCACACCATTGCACTCCAGCCTGGGCGACAAGGGCAAAACTCTATCTCAAAAAAAAAAAAAAAAAGAAAAGAAAAGAAAAAATTGTTTAAGACAAATAGAGAAGGTTACATACTTGTGAACAAAAACTGAGCTCTTTTAATAGAAAACTCAGTTTTCTTAAGTAATCAAAGACTAATATGTGACCACATGAAATAAACTACATTAATAAAACACAAAATTGTTTCCTAGGCCAATTACATAAAAGGAATAAAAACTGTCACATTCTCAGACCAAAATACTCCAAGAAACTTTTGTCATTTTAACAGGGAAGACCAAATTGTACTTTTGCTTCAGTGTACTCTTAACACTAAAGGTAATTTTAAATAAATTTTAAATAAATATATACAATCTCAGTCAGCTTTGACCACACAACATTTTCATAAACATTTTTTAAACTTTTAAAAATTGATACAGAATTATGCATACTTATGGAGTGTACATTGCATATATACAATGCAACATAATCAAATTAGGATAATTAGCATATACATTATCCTCAGATACTTATCATTTGTTTGCAGTGAAAACATTAAAAATCCTCTCTTCTAGCTATTTTCAAATATATAATACATTATTGTTAACTACAATCATTCTACTGTGCAATGGAATACTGGAAATTATTCATCCTATCTAGTTGTAACTTTGAACCCACTGACCAACCTCTCCTCATTTTCCTCTCCCCTCTACCCTTCCCAACCTCTGGTAACAACTATTCCACTCTCTAGTTCTATGAGATCAACTTTTTTAGCTCCCACATATGAGTGAGAATATGTAGCATTTGTCTTTCTGTGTCTGGCTTATTTCACATAACATAATGTTTTCCAGCCTCATCCATGTTGCTAGAAATGACAGGATTGTATTCTTTTTTATAGTTGAACAGAATTAATTGTGTAAATATGCCAAATATTTTCTAAATCCATTCATCCATTGATTGACATTTCAGTTGATTCAATGTCTTGGCTTTTGTGAATACTGCTATAATAAGCACAAGTGTGCAGTTATTTTTTTGACACACTGACTTCATTTAATCTGAATATATACCCTGTAGTAAGATTCCTGAATAATATGGTAGCTCTATTTTTAATTTTTTGATGGAATTCCATGCCAATTTCCCTAGTGGTTGTGCTATTTTACATTCCCATCAACAGTGTATAAGAGTTCCCCTTTCTTCATGTCCTCACCAGCATTTGTTATTTTTGTCTTTTTGATAATAACCATTCTAATTACTGTGATGTGATATTTCATCGTGGTTTCTATTTACATTTCTCTGGTAATTAGTGATGTTGAGCATTTTTCCATATACTTCTTGGCCATTTGTATGTCTTCCTTTGAGAAATGTCTATTCAGATCTTTCACCCATTTTTTTTAGTGAAATTATATGCTTTTTTCCTATTGAGTTGTCTGGTTTCCTTATATATTCTCATTATTAACCCCTTGTCAGATGCATAGTTTACAAATGTTTTTTGGTATAACATAAGCATTTTTCCTATTTTTTAACAAAAATGTGTTCTTTATTCATTATGAAACATTTTACTTCCTCACAAAGAGTTGTTTCCTTTATAATTTCTAGTATTTTAATTACATGTATTAACTATAATTTATAACTTTTAGTAACTTAATTTCTAGTTAAAAGTAGCAAACTTTGTGAACTGTCTCATATTAGTACAAATGATTTCATTATTTCTAGAGACATGCATTTCCTCAATTTTTTACATTTATTAATAGATCCAAATATATTTAGCTTCTCTATATCTTATAAAAAGAAGACGCCAAAGTACATAAACTTATGAATAATCATATATGTTTTCATATTTTAACTTACTTAGAAATAACTCAGACAATTAATGAGTATCTCTATTACTTAATTTCACTATAAGGTTTCAAGTTACCAAAAAGAATTTTTAAACTATGACAAGTTCATTTATAAACATTTATCTCATTCACATTTACCTAACTGTATTCATTCTTAACAGTTATGTTTAAATTGATCATGGGAAACAGGCTATTCATCATCTTATCTTTTTGTTCTTTTAAAAAACAAAACCAAACTAACCCTACATTTGCCAGCCTTGTCCTAACCAAAGCCTCTGAAACACTGGACACAGATACCCTCCCCATTGTTCACCCCAGCCATCCTGGGTCCTAAACATCCACTCAGCACCCAGAAGGCTACAAAAGGCAAGGTCCATATGGATGGTACAGAGCTCAGGACAGAGGACAGGAAACAGACAGCTGTGAAGACAATGCCTGGAGTACTTGACTGCTCCCAGGATGGCCAAGAAGCAGAGTTAGGCCAGGGAGGATGGGGCCATACTGGGCTTGGCCCTCCCCTGTGGTTGACTGGCAGCCTAGGCGCTGCAGAAACACACATGTCCTAGACTTCACCATAGCCTCCTTCCCAGACCCCAGAATCCAGAGGCTCAAAACTAAATACATAGGCTCACAAGATGTACACAAGGCTTTATGGGAGCCTAGCAGTCATTCCCCCTAGCTTTGACCTACCAATAAGTCAGGCAAGTATCAAAAATATCAAAGAAGCTAAAAGTTAAAAGTTAAATGTAGTTTTTCCTTTTTTTTTTTCCCCCATGACTCATATACATTTTAGCAATCCATATTTACTGTGCATTCTACTCTGAGGTTGGATTTAAAGTATTATGACCTTAAACACCTAGCAGAGGTAACATACCTGTTTGATCAGCAAACACAGGCAAAAATGTCTATATTATATTTAATGACATAATCATACAGAAAGAAGCAGATCCTACAGCTTTAACTTTAAGCCACATGCCAGGTCCAATAATTCAAGACTCACTAGCTGGATTTGGCGGGACACGTTACCTGCTCCAGATGGCTAGAGCTTTTTACCAATTTGTATGGAGAAGGCTTCTGAGACTTTTCATGGGACCAGTTTCTAAACATTTTTTTCTTTCTGATGACAGTCATCTCCCTGAATTTTGTATTTCCAGAAGATAAATATCAAGTTCTAGAGAAGTCAGGATAGGAAATTTACATCTCAAAAGCACAGAGAAAGAATGCAAGTTTTTTCATGTAGTTTGAGGAATGTTCACCTATTAACAGAGATCAGTCTTATAAAGGATGTGGACTAGATTTTAGGCTGGTAACTGAGGATCTAGTGTATGAATGTCTTCAAAGCCCCCTATGAGTGGTACAAAAAGTACATAAATGAGCCTAGGCAAAAATTCAGGAGTCCATTCAAAATAACCAGCTGATCCCATTATTACATTGGGTTTTGGGTCTCTTAGAGCTGAGGTAAAAGCCTAAGAGGACAACATCCCATAGTTGGGTCATACAACATTTTCACAATGTACCTTGTTGCATGGGCATTTTCTTGAGGCTAGTGTGTAACCTAATGTCAATTAGCCCATTTTGTGTCCCGCTTATCCTAACTCAGGAGTCTCTGTCTTTGTGTGCATGGGTGTGGTAAGCACTCTAGTAGCTTTCAAGTGCGCAAACCATGCACACCATCAAATTGTGGCTTTGGCTCCGAAATTCCTTTGACCAACTTAGCCAATGATTTTCCCATTCTGTCTGACCCAGTCAAACACCTGAGGCTTCTCTTATGTGAGGGCACAAGAAACAAAGAGGATGGAAACAAGATATAATACCTGTGAATTTGGAAAACTGGAGTTCACATCCCCTATAGCAAAAACCACTTACAAACCACTTACAGCAACCGCTGTCTGTTGTATTGAAAACTGCAGCTCTACCCAGTAACTGGTCAACCACCATGAATCCAAAAGTCAAATGCCTTCTCACAGCACAAACTAACCCTTGGTACCCCAAATGCCAAAGATATCAGGGAGCTCAATGCCAAAGAGAACAGAGGTCCAGATGTGAGAAGGACTAACTCATGACTCTTAGGGAAGACACAGGACCAAATGAGGAAGACAGAGGACCACAAAAAGGAGGTCAGGGGCACCTTTCCTGTGTTTTTCAAGGGGTCTCAGAGTCTTTAGAGGTCTCCTTCCGGTCCCTATGTATGATTACCAGAATGCTGATGTTTTCTCTTAGTAATTTTTTATCTGCTGACCAACAAATGGAGGAGGGAAGGAGTTGAAGGCCCACTCAAGGAAACTGAATGGAAGATAGACGGTGGCACAAGGAGGATACAGGAGCAGAAGAAATGGAAAGAAGAGGTTTAGAGGAGTCAATCTGGGGAGATCTTAAGTTCACCAAAAAGGCCAATAAAGTTCCACATTGTCCTCAACAAAAATCACACTAACAAGGAAGGAAGTAAACAGAAAAACAGAATATGTAGTTAGCAGGAGTTTGAGAAAAGGAGTTTCAGTTGACTGTGAAGTTCCCATGGGAGAAGCAGGATCCAACAGAGAAACTCAGACACCTTAGAAAAAGCCTGAATATCAGCTTCCACTTAAATTGACTTTTCACCATACAGCCTTTTAAAAAAATCCTTTCAAATGTCTTATTATCAGATTTCAGCCAGGACAAACAACAAATAATTCTGATTTTTTTCCTTTTCCTTTTAAACCAAAGGAAGGTATCCATCAAGTAACTCAGAACCAAAACCAGTAAGTCTTTTACGACTTAACCAGTGATGAGAGAGACGTCCTCAAGAGGGTGCGAAAAGGTACAGTCCTCCAAAGACTCAGAACCACTCCCAAAAGAAAAGTCAAAAGAACGAAAGACCTTTGCTACCACAGGACCAAGCAATGATGGTGGAGATGACAAAAGCCCCTTTGAATTGGGACTTTTTATAAGAAAAAAAAAAAAATCCCCTGAGAGCTGGCACGATAAAACAGAGAGCATTCAGGGACCTCATCCACTGGCTGCCTGACACAAGCCAACACTTGTGCTCTCTGGCTGACAGAGATCAGGGGGGATATTCTCACAAGTCTTAAGGCCGAACTCTCAGGATGTAAAAACGAGACAAACAGGAAAGACAAAGACAACTGTCCCTGAGAGGGAAAGGATCCATAACAAATGGGTACCCCAAGGCTAAATTTACACAACAGTCACAATCCAAACAAATGATTTTCTCCTGCTAACCTGAATTTGGAAAGGAACAAATACAGATAAAATTTTACCATCTATTCTCAACCAGGCATTATAGACAGAGACCAGGGAAGAGCTGATGTTAGTAAATAATTCTCCCTTTGCCGGCTTTTGGTCAGTTGTCCTAGGATCTCACCTGCAGGCACTGGAGTGAGTCAGTTGCCTCAGCCGCTCCACATTGAACACCAGAGTTACAAGCGCAGAAAAGGTATGACACCTTTCCTACCTATCAAAAGGGTCACAACCAACACTCCTACAAGAAAAGGTTAACAAGAAAAGCATAACAGATTTATTTAATCAAAGTTTTATGTGACACAATAGCCTTCAGAAATGAAGGCCCACAGACCCAAGAGGAAAACTGTCCATTTTTATGCTTAGATTTGATGAAGAATAGACAGTTATACAGAAGTGTGATTGGGCAAAAAGGATATGACCTAATGGTAATAGACTGAGTAGGGAAATGCAGTAAGGCCTGTCCTCATTCTTCCTGACCTCTCTGTGTAGCATTCTTTCCTCATGGGTATAGGGCAAGACCCCTTCTGAAATGAGGGTCTTGTGACCTACCATTAGACAAAGTAGGTCACAGAATTTCTTTACAGCCAGCCTCTACACAGAAAGGTGGGGAAAGGTCAGAATAATATTTCCAGGTTTTATATCTGGCTTTTGGGGATAGAAGTTCTAATTTCTATGAACCACCTTGGTGAAGAGGAATTCTAGTTTCTATGGCCTGCCTTAGGGGAAAATGGGAAGCAGGAGAAAGAAGGGTAGGAGAATGTCAGAAAGATCTTGCATCTGAGTTCAAAGTATTCGCTTCAGTCCAAAGTACTGAGAATGCCAAAGTACCATACTTTAAGAAATAATTTTCTGAGCCCCAACAATCCTAATTTGAAAAGTTAATTTATAGGATTCAACCTTTTTTATATCAGAGATGCTAGCTGGGTAGAGGTGTACAACAATGAATGAAAACAGAAATTTTTGTTACTGTAGAACTCTTTTTGAGGAAGTCAAGAATATTTATGAGTATGCCTTTTCTTCACAGCTTAACTAAAGGTCTGTTAACAAATGTAATAGAGTTAGGCAGTATCTTTGAGATAAGGTACCTCAAAAGTCCCCAAAGGTTCTTCCAAAAACACTGTCACTGCCAAAAAAGGTTCTATAATCACATAAGTTTAGGAAATTCTCCCTGTTCTCTTCCCACTTTGGAGACACATATCATGACATCTAGTCCACAAAGTCCAGCAGGAGAGACCTCTTCAATTTCATAAACATATTTAACTACAAACACTTTATATCAATAGTGCCTAATAATAGTCTAGAAATCAGAACTCGTAATCGTAATACTATTTAGGCAATGTTGATCTGGTATAAAACCCTTATTTTACAGATATTTTTAAAAGTAAGAGTCACAGAAGTTAAATAGCTATCTAGTTCAGATACTCTAGACAGAGCCAAATGAACCCAATCTCCCAATTCCACGTTTCTTCCATGACTCATTCTTTACATGCCAGGCATTTAACCTAATCATCACTTTGTAATTTAAAATTTCCCCATCCAGCCTCAAATACATGTTTGTTTGTTTGTTTGTTTAAGCACACAATAATATACATTTTGAGCATATCCAAAGCTTATCTATCACCCTGGATAACTTTCTGTAAGTGCCTCCCTGTTTATAAAATTAAAAACACTGAATCTGATAGCAAATAACCTGAGGCCTCTGTGATAAATGAGACAGGGCTTCGGGGCGTTTCAGCCAGCCTCCCCTGAGACTAGGTTTAAGACATCTCCATCTTATGTGAAGACTTAAATTGTGTTGTAGCAGCTTCAGTGAAATTATTTTTAATGCCCATTTGAGATTTTTTAGAAATAATAGAGCTTTTATGCAGGCATTCGAGGCAGAATCCTTAATGAGGTAAGGCATGAGGAATGAATTCAGAAGGAAGATTTTCATGATTGGAGGAGCTATGCGTCATACCTAATGTACATTCCAGGAATATTTTATTTAAAGCAAAATTAGTGAAATATCAATCTGTGGAATTCTACAAGAAATTCATTTTATAACTCCTCCATTATTCCTGTCATCAGTAACTTCATTTTTCACATATGAGAAGTTCTCACGTAAATGTCCTGAATATCTAAACCAATGTATTCAGTGCCCAGAATATATTATACATCCAGGATTCACAATATTCACTTAAATATGATGATTAGAGCAAAATTGTCAGTTAAAAAATAGCAGCAGTATTTAGCTGCATTTGAGGGAATGTGATCTGAAGTACCACAGCAACCTTTCTTAAGCCCCAAGCAATGCAAAGTCATGACATGTACGGGTTCAGAGACACAGAGCTGATTGAGCAAAATACATATCCCAAAGATTAATGGTCATCTGAAAGAAGATAAAAGATTTATTGTAAGTTTTTATTTGACATAGTGTCACACAAAAGTGATCTATGATGTCTTCAATAACAACCACCACCACAAAATAATGGCTAACACATCTAATGCTCACTGTGTACCAGGCACAGTTCTAAGCACTTTCTATATAATCACTCATTTCATTATCATAACATCTCCATGAAATAGTACTACTATTATCTCCACTTAACATCTATTGAAACTGAGATGCAGAGAGTTTAAGTAACTTGCCAAAGGTCACACAGCTAGTAAGAAACAACACATAGGTTGGATTCGAATCCTCAAAGTCCAGCTCCAAAATCCGCAATGTCTGAGCCTTACTAAATGCCAAGCACCATGAGAGGTTCTTTCTTGCATTACCTCATTTCATTATGCTTATTTAACTTTATTTTTAGGATAAAATCAACTGTAAAATGTTTTTCTCTTTCATTTACAAGTTTGCATGGCTTGTGGCTACATCCTTGAATTTATCAGTAAATCTCCAATATAATAAAAACCAGCTGTGTTCCACCTGAAACATTAAAACATTATTCTTTGCATTGCGTAAGTTAAAAAAACTGTTTAGTTTCTACTTCTCTAGCCTTTCTTGAGTAAGCAGCTATGGGTAGTAAAGCATACAGGACAAAGAGATATCTCAGGATCCAGCTCACCCAATGAGGGAGCTACAAAAGACAGCAAGGAAGGCCTTCAAGTAATGAGTTAGCAAGCTGTCTAGTGATAACCCTGAGCCAATGGGAATGCCCTTGGGATGTGTCCTATGCTTAATTCAAATATCTGTGGCACAGCATAGCATCCTTGAACTGGGAGAAACCTCTTTGTAGCATTACCACCAATCTTTCCTAAGTAAAGTTAGCCATTTCCACCTCAGTGAGGCTAATCTTCAAGTAATTTCTATTGTTGAGTAAAGAAGGCATTTTCGACTATTATTCAAAAGTCAAAAAAATAACAGACGCTGGCAAGGTTGTGGAGAAAAAGAAATGCTTATACCAACGCTGTTAGTAGCAGTGTAAATTAGTTCAGCCATTGTGGAAGACAGTGTGATGATTTCTCAAAGACCTAAAGTCAGAAATATCATTCAACCCAGCAATCCCATTGCTGGGTATATATCCAAAGAATATAAATTGTTCCATTATAAAATACATGCACACATATGTTCACTGCAGCACTATTCATAATAGCAAAAACTTGGAATCAACCCAAATGCCCATCAATGATACAATGGATAAAGAAAATGTGGTACATATACAACACAGAATACCATGCAGCCATAAAAAAAGAATGAGATCATGTCCTTTTCAGGGACATGGATGGAGGTGGAGGCCATTATCCTTAGAAAATGGATGCAGGAACAGAAAACTAAGTATTGTCTGTTCTCACTTATAAGTGGCAGCTAAATGATGAGAATACATGGACACATAGAGGAGAACAACGCACACTGGGGCTTATCAGGGGGTAGAGGGTAGGAGGAGGGAGAGGATCAGAAAATAACTAATGGATACTAGGCTTAATACTTTGGTGATGAAATAATCTGTACAACAAACTCCCATGACACACGTTTACTTATGTAACAAACCTGCACATCCTGTACATGCACCCCTAAACTTAAAAATAAAGTCAAAATATATGCATGGAAAAAAAAAAGTCCTGCCAATGCCTGAAACTCAACATACTCCAAATTAAATTTACCCTATCCTATTCCAAAAAGTCAACTTTATTTTCAAAGTTTTCTAAATATCCCAGATTTAAATGATTCTTTGATTCCTAATTTTTTTTTTCACCTTGCATATTAACCAGTCACTGGAACCCAACATTCATTCATTTATTTTTCTTCACAACGTCTCTCAGATTATCTTTCCTTTCTGCTTTCGAGGCAAAACAGCATACTTGAAAATCCATAGAGGCTGGGCATGGTGGCTCACAACTGTAATCCCAGCACTTTGGGAGTCCAAGGTGGGCAGATCACCTGAGGCTGAGAGTTCGAGACCAGCCTGGCCAATATGGCAAAACCCCGTCTCTACCAAAAATACAAAAATTAGCCTGGCGTGGTGGTGCATGCCTGTAGTCCCAGCTACTTAGGAGACTGAGACATGAGAATCACTTGAATGCAGGAGGCGGAGGTTGCAGTGAGTTGAGATCACACCACTGCAATCCAGCCTGGGTGACAGAGTGAGACTCTGTGTCAAAAAGAAAAGAAAAGGAAGGGAAGAGGAGGGGAGGGGAGGGAAGGGGAGGGGAGGGGAGGGAAAATCAAGCCCACACATAGGAGTTAATGTAGGTCCTGGATTTTCCATGTACTAACAGCAAAGAAAAAAAAAAAGAATTCTCAGTAGAGGATTTCCACTTCCTTTCTACTTTCACATGACTGTTCCTATACAAATGCACCAACAATTTTATTGAAAATGGTTTTTTTTACATGTAGTATATTTATGTGATCTCTACTGTTGGATCTCTCTATTGTGTATGTTTATACTGAACCAAATCTTTCAGTGACTCTGTTCATGCTTTTCACTCATTTCATCCATTTCTCATTATTTCATTATTCTTCCCATCTCAAATCAGTAGTAATATTTCTAGGATTTTCATAATTCAAAGAGAGTGAAAATATTCCTTTCGGTTCTCTTAATTAATTCTTCCTCAGGAAAAAAAAAAAGTTGCTTTAGTTTAAGGTTTTTCCAGTCTAGAATGAAATGAATCTCAAGAAATCTCAAGGATCTCCAATGAAAGGGGAGAACTTGCACCCCCACCTTGAAAATTACTTCTTACGCAATGATTCCATCCATTACTGATATATTGTATCATGAAAATAGTGTTTATAAAAACTATGGGAAATTTTGAAAAATGCTTGTTAACTGCAAAAGCAGAATTCCAAAGTGTTTACACAGATGACATTAGGTAGGTAGGTAGGTAGGCAGATAGATTACACAGACAGACAGACAGACAGACAGACAGACAGATACACACACATAAACTCATGCATAGAAAAAAATCAAGAAAAAATCATCAACATAATTTTGTTGGGATAATATGACTTGTTGTCCTTTCTTATATTTCTCCTCATTTTTCAACTTCTTTGAATAATCACATGGCACATTCAATAGTTAAAAAAAATGAACATTTACTTTGCAGAATACTTACACATCAGGCAACAAAATATCACTTTCTTCCAAAGTACTGAAATTTCTCTGAATCTAGCCCTGTAGCTAAACAAACCTCCCTGACAATGTAATGTTCTGGTTTGGGAGTCTGTCTTTACAAATCCATCACATAAACAGAACCAATGACAAAAACCACATGATTATCTCAATAGATGCAGAAAAGGACTTCAATAAAATTCAACACCCCTTCATGCTAAAAACTCCCAGTAAACTAAGTATTGATGTAACATATCTCAAAATAATAAGAGCTATTTATGACAAACCCATAGCCAATATCATACTGAATAGGCAAAAGCTGGAAGCATTCCCTTTGAAAACCAGCATAAGATAAGGATTCCCTTTCTCACCACTCCTATGCAACACAGTATTGGAAGTTCTGGCCAGGGCAATCAGGCAAGAGAAAGAAATAAAGGGTATTCAAATAGGAAGACAGGAAGTCAAATTGTCTCCGTTTGCAGATGACATGATTCTATATTTAGAAAACCCTATCATCTCAGCCCAAAAACTTAAGCTGATAAGCAACTTCAGCAAAGTCTCAGGGTACAAAATCAATGTGCAAAAATCACAAGCATTCCTATACACCAATAATAGACAAGCAGAGAGCCAAATCATGAGTGAACTCCGATTCACAACTGCCACAAAGAGAATAAAATGTCTAGGAATACAACTTACAAGGGATGTGAAGGACCTTTTCAAGGAGAACTAAAAACCACTGCTAAAGGAAATCAGAGAGGACACAAACAAATGGAAAAACGTTCCATGCTCATGGATAGGAAGAATCAATATCGTGAAAATAGCCATACTGCCCAAAGTAATTTATAGAGTCAATGCTATTCCCATCAAGCTACCATTGAATTTCTTCACAGAATTAGAAAAAACTACTTTAAATTTCATATGGAACCACAAAAGAGCCTGCGTAGCCAGGACAATCCTAAGCAAAAAGAACAAAGCTGGAGGCATCACGCTACCTGACTTCAAACTATACTACAAGGCTACAGTAACCAAAACAGCAGGGTACTCGTACCAAACCAGATATACAGACCAATGGAACAGAACAGAGGCCTCAGAAATAACGCCACACATCTACAACCACCTGATCTTCAACAAGCCTGAAAAAAACAAGCAATGGGGAAAGGATTTTCTATTCAATAAATGGTGCTGGGAAAACTGGCTAGCCATAGGCAGAAAACTGAAACTGAACCCCTTTCTTACATCTTATACAAAAATTAACTCAAGATGGATTAAAGACTTAAATGTAAAACCTAAAACCATAAAAACCCTAGAAGAAAACTTAGTCAATACCATTCAGGACATAGACATGGGCAAAGACTTCATGACTAAAACACCAGAACCAATGGCAACAAAAGCCAAAATTGACAAATAGGATCTAATTAAACTAAAGAGCTTCTGCACAGCAAAAGAAGCTATCATCGGAGTGAACAGGCAACCTACAGAATGAGAGAAAATTTTTGCAATCTATCCATCTGACAAGGGCTAATATCCAGAATCTACAAGAACTTAAACAAATTTACAAGAAAAAAAAACAAACAACCCCATCAAAAAGTGGGTAAAGGATAGGAAAAGATACTTCTCAAAAGAAGACATTTATGTGGCCAAAAAACACATGAGAGAAAGCTCATCATCACTGGTCATTAGAGAAATGCAAATCAAAACTACAATGAGATACCACCTCATGACAGTTAGAATGGCAATCATTAAAAAGTCAGGAAATAACAGATATGGGTGAGGATGTGGAGAAATAGGTACACTTTTACACCATTGGTGGGAGTGTAAATTAGTTCAACCATTGTGGAAGACAGTGCAGCAATTCCTCAATGATATAAAACCAGAAATACCATTTGAGCCAGCAATCCCATTACCAGGCATATACCTAAAGTATTATAAATCATTCCACTATGACGACACACATGGATGTTTATTGTAGCACTATTTACAATAGCAAAGACTTGGAACCAACCCAAATGCCCATCAATGATAGACTGGATAAAGAAAATGTGGCACATATACACCATGGAATACTATGCAGCCATAAAAAAATGAGTTCTTGTCCTTTGCAGGGACATGGATGAAGCTGGAAACCATCATTCTCAGCAAACTAACACAGGAACAGAAAACCAAACACCACACATGTTCTCACTCATAAATGGGAGTTGAACAATGAGAACACATGGACCTGGGGAGGGGAACATCACACACTGGGGCCTTTCAGGGGTTGGGGGAAAAAGGGAGGGAGAGCATGAGGACAAATACCTAATGCATGCAGGGCTTAAAACCTAGATGATGGGTTGATAGGTGCAGCAAACCACCATGGCACATGTCTACCTATGAAACAAACCTGCACTTTCTGCACATGTATCCCAGAACTTAAAGTAAGATTTAAAAAAAAAAACAAAACAAAGCAAAACAAATATACATAAACATAGATACACACTTAATACAATCAGGTAGGCATATACTGAGTGATTTTTAATGTAAATTAAATCACATCAATATTTGTTTAAAATCCTCCAATAGCCTCTCTTTTGAATTGAAATAAGTCAGAACTCTTTACCTAGATGTACAAAGTCCAATACAATTTAGCTCCTAACCACCTCTTTGACCTCAATCCCTAATGCTTTCCATAACTCACTCTAGGGCAGCTCCTTTGGCTTCATTTGTGCTTCTTTCTGCCTAATAGAGATTTTCTGATGGCTGACCCCTTCCTGTCATTAGGTATCAACTCAAACATCACCTTCCCAGGGAGGCCTCCATTTACTACACAGTCTAGTCTGTCATCCATTTCTTTTCCCCAGCACTGTTTCCATCACCTTTAAAAGCTTTTGTATGTATAAGGACAAAACACTGCTGAAAGAAATTATAGATGACATAACCAAATGGAAAACCATTCCATGTTCATGGATTGAAAGAATCAACATCTTAAAATCTCTATACTGCGTTTTTTCCCCAACAGGGTTGATTAGAGGCTTTTAGCACGCCTCAGTAACTTGGAAGTAGCATAAAAATAGTGCATAAAAATCAACTCTGGGGACTTTAATTCAAGAAGGAAAATGGGAATCCTCAGCATTCGTGAAGGACACCCAAGATCCCTGGGAGGAGAATGCTGGCCAACAGCTTCCATGACAGCATCTGGCTGACAAAAATGAGTGAAGCCCCAGTATGTGAGAGAGGCAGAGAACTTCCCACTGTAACTCATCTTTCCACTGAGGATTGGAGCAACCCCAACTGAGAAAGAGCACTTTGTTTCTCCCAAGCCTTGGAAATAACTTGGGAAGGGGCTTAGAGACATTGTGAGCGCAAGACACCAGGAAATACTGCAGACATTTTCCCAGACCCAGGACTGAGAGCAGGATTCTGTTTTTAATTCGAGTGCATACTAAGTCAAGCTTTTCTTTGTGACTCAGCAGCATAGCCATGCAGGCATTTTAGTCTCAGGCCGGAGATTGGAATGGCTGCTCTGGAACAGGCTAGGAATCTCCATAACCAGAGCTGTGAAAAGCACCTCAGTAGTCGGCACTGGAATTGTACTCTACCCTGTCACAACCCTGTGGTAGAAGGAGAGCTGCTACAGCTGCAGTTTCTCCTGGGTGATGATACTTGCAGACAGGGCTGGCTTGGTGACCTGCTGTGTGTGTGCCATTGTTGGGTGCTCCAGCCTGCTCCCCTGAGTTCATGGTGCAGCAGGACCCTCTCTGCCTCATACCCAGGCAGAAATTCAGGCATTCAGAGCACACCCTCACATGGACCCACAGCCTGAGCCACCCCACCCTTCATGAGTATAGATCATGATGCATCAGGACCCTCTCCACACCATGCCCAGGCAGATTTCCAGGTATTCAGAGCACCCCCTCACTCACCTGAATCAGCAGCCTGAGCCACCCTACCCTTCCTGTGCATAGACTTAGATACAGTGGGGCCCTCTCTATTCCTAATGTGGCCAGACCTCCAGGCATTTAGAGCACCGATTCACATGAAACAGCAGCCTGAGACACCCTAGTCTTCCTGCGCATAGATCTGGGTACAGGAGGCTCTCTCTGCTTCACACCCAGGCAGATCTCCAGGCATTCACCTGGTTCAGCAGCCTGAACCTTCCCACCCTTCCTGGGCATAGATTGTGGTGCAGCACGGCTCTCTCTACTCACGTCCAGGCAGGTCTCCAGACATAAAGGATACCTGCTCACCGAGATCAGCAGACTGACATGTTCTGTGCTTCCTGTGCACAGATCCTGGTGCAGGAGGCCCTCTGCTTCATGCCCAGGCAGATTTCTAGGCATTCTGAGAACCTATTCTCCTAGATTAGGAGTTTAGGCTGCCCTCATCCCCCTGCAGAGAACTTGGGGCTGAGGAGGTTTCCCAACTCCACACCTAGGCCCATTTCTGGGTGCTTGGAGGCCACCCACTGGATTCTTGCTTGGCACTGGTACCTGTGCCTGCCATTGGAGGACCTGTTGGCAGACCTGCCTGTTCCAGTACCATCTATCTTACCCCTCTAGAGCTGAGGAGGGAGCTCAGACCACTGTGCACTCCACACATTCACCCATTGCCTAAGACAAAAGAGAGCTTCTCCCAGTAAACAGGGATCAAGTATACACCCAGCTACGGTGGCCTCAGCTGGCTGTTACCTATAAGCGCCATCTACTGGCTTGTAGGTTGAACTGCACAGCCCAATATAAACCCTGCCAACAGAAGAGCACAGGGCTGTAGAAGCAAAGCCAAAACACCCTACCCAGTATTCTCTACAGTCACACCCCTTAGGGAGATGGGAAAGGGAAAAGGACATTTTGAAAATAATATTACAGAGAAAAAAAGAAGAGAAAATCCTAGATGCATGAGAATAATTACAAAAATTTGAAGTGCCAGCATCTCCAGATGAGAAAGATTCTGGCACCATGAAAAATCTGAATGTAGTGACACCACCAAAGGATCACACTAGCTCTCCAGCAATGGTCCCTAGCCAAAATGGAAACTCAAAAGTGACAGATAAAGAATTTAAAGCATTGATTGCAAAGAAGCTCAACAAAATCCAAAACAAAGTTGAAAATCAACACAAATAAACTTCTAAAGCAATCCAAAAAATGGAGGAATAGATAAACATCTTTAAAAGAAATCAATCAGAGCATTTGGAATTGAGAAATTTGAAATTGAAAGGAATTGAAATACTTTCAAGAGAAAATTTCAAAATACAATTGAAAGCTTCACCAATTGACTCGACCAAGCTGAAGAAAGAATTTCAGAGCCTGAAGACTGGTCTTTTGCACTAACCCAGTTAGACAAAAACAAAGAAAAGAGAATTTTAAAAAATGAACAAAGTCTTCAAGAAAGATAAGATTATGTAAAGTGACCAAACCCATGAATTATTGGCATTGATGAGAGAGAAAGAGAAAAAGTAAACAATGTGAAAACATATTTAAGGGAATAACTCAAGAAAATTACCCTAATCTTGCTAGAGAGGTAGACATCTGGATAGAAGAAACCCAGAGAACACCTGCAAGATACTATACAAAATGAACATCATCAAGGCATATAGTCACCAGCCTGTCCAAAGTCAACACTAAAGAAAAAATCTTAAAGGCAAATAGTCAGATCACATACAAAGGGAACCCCATCAAGCTAACATAGACATTTCAGTTGAAACCTTACAAGCCAGTAGAGATACAGGCCTATTTTCAACATTCTTAAAGAAAAGAAATTCCAACCAAGAATTTAATATCCTGCCATACTAAGCTTCATAAGCAAAAAAGAAATAAAACCTCTTCCAGACAAGCAAGCACTAATGGAATTTATTACCACTAGACCAACCTTACAAGACATCCTTAAGGAAGTTCTAAACATGGAAATGAAAGAACAATACCTGCTACCACAAAAGCACACTAAGGTACATAGCCTTTAGACCCTAAAAAGCAAGCACACAATAGAAACTACAAAGCAACCAGCTAATTATTTCACAATAAGATCCAAACCTCACATACCAATATTAGTATTGAATATATATTGTCTAAATACCCCCCACTTAAAATCACAGAGAGGCAAATTGGAAAAAAAAAAAAAAAACAAGACCCATCTGTCTGCTATCTTCAAGAGAGACATCTTACACATAACACCACCCATAAGCTCAAGGTAAAGGGTTAGAGAAAGATCTACCATGCAAACAGAAAATGAAAAAGAGCAAGGGTCACTGTCTTTATATCAAATAAAAAAGACTTTAAACCAACAACAGTAGAAAAGGAGAAAGAAGGGCATTACATAGTGATAAAGGGTTCAATTCATGAGAAGACTTAACTATCCTAGATATATACACACCCAACATTGAAGCATCTGGATTCATAAAACAAGTATTTCTAGAGCTACAAAAAGACTTAGACAGCCACACAATGAAAATAGTGGAGGACTTCAATATCCCACTGACAGCATTAGACAGATCATTGAGGCAGAAAACAAAGAAATTCTGGACTTCAATTTGACACTTGACTAATTGGATCTAATATGCTTCTAAAGAATACTCCACCCATGAACCACAGAATATACATTCTACCTGTCTACACATGGAACTTACTCCAAGATCAACCACATGCTTGACCAGAAGGCAAATATCAATAAAAACAAAAATTTGAAATCATACCAACCATACCCATGGACCAGAGTGGAACAAAAATAAAAATTATTATAATGATCTCTTAAAACCACACAATTACATGAAAATTAAATAACTTTCTGCTGAATTACTTTTGGGTAAATAACAAAAAGCAGAAATCAAAAAATTTTCCTGAAATAAAAACAGACACAACATACCAAAATCTCTGGGATGCAGCAAAAGCACTGTTAGTAGGAAAGTTTATAGCACTAATTGCCTACTTCAAAAAGTTAAAAAGATCTCAAATTAACAATGTAATATCACACCAAGAGGAACTACAAAACAAGAACAAGCTAACCTCAAAGGTAGCAGAAAACAAGAAATAACTAAAATCAGAACAGAATGAAATAAAAGTGAGACCCCAAAAGTCATAAAAATAATCAATGAAACCAAAAATTGTTTTTGTAAAGGATAAAGGATAAAAAAATCAATATACTGCTAAACAGATTAACAAAAACAAAGAGAAGAACACAATGAGAAATGACAAAGGTGACATACAACTGATCCCACAGAAATACAAAAGATCCTCAGAGACTGTTATGAACAGTTATGTGCATACAGGTGTATGCACATAAACTAGAAAATCTAGAGGAAACTGACAAATTCCTAGAAACACACAACCTCCCAAAATTGAATCAGGAAGAAACTGAAACCCTAAACAGAACAATATGAAGTTCCAAAACTGAATCAGTAAGAAAAAACTTACCCACCAAAAAAGCCCTGGACCAGGTGGATTCACACCTAAATTCTACCAGACATGCAAGGAAGAGCCAGTACCAATTCTACTGAAACTATTCCAAAAACTCAAAAAGGAACACTGCTGCCTATCTCTTTCTATGAAACCAGTATCACCATGATACCAAAACCTGTCAAAGACACAACAATAACATAAAAGTAAAAACTACAGGCCAATATCCTTGCCAAACATAGATGTAAAAATGCTCAACAAAATACTAGCAAACTGAATTCACCTGCACATCAAAAAGCATTTTACCATGATCACACAGACTTCATTCCTGGGATGCAAAGTTGGCTCAATATATATAAATCAATAATTGTAATTCACCACACAAACAGAATTAAAGACAAAAACCATATGGTCATCTCAATAGATGCAGAAAAAGCATTCAATAAAATCTAACATCTCTTCATGATTAAAAAAAAATCCATCAAAAAACTAGGCATCAAAGGAAGCTACCTTAAAATAATGAGTCATCTATAACAAACCCACAGCTAACATCATTCTGAACAGGGAAAAAATTGAAGCATTTTCCTTGAGAACTGGAATCATACAATAATGGTCACTCTCACCACCCCTATTCAACATAGTACTGGATGACCTAGCCAGAGAAATCAGGCAAGAGAAAGATACAAAGGGCACCCAAATAGGAAAAGAAGTCAAACTCTCTTCTTACTGACGATATGATCCTATACCTAGAATACCCTAAAGACTCTGCCAATAGGCTCATGGAACTGATAAACGGCTGACAAAGTTTCAGAATATGAAATTAACATATAAAACTTACTAGCATTTCTATAAACCAATAACATTTGGCTCTTATCTGAGAGCCATATCAAGAATGAAACCCCTTTTACAATGGTCACCAAAAAATAAAATACCTAGGAATACATCTAACCAAGGAGGTGAAAGATCTCTATTAGGAAAACTATAAAACACTGCCTAAAGAAATCATAGATGACACAAACAAATGGAAAAACATTCCACGCTCATGGATTGGAAGAATCAATATCATTAAAATGTCCATACTGCCCAAAGCAATCTACATTTTCAACGTGATTTCTACCAAACTACCAACATTATTTTTCACAGAACTAGAAAAAAACTACTCTAAAATTCACATGGAACCAAAAATGAGGCTGAATAGCCAAAGCAATCCTAAGAAAAAAGAACAAAGTTGGATACATCTTATTACCCAACGTTGAACTATGCTATAAGGCTATAGTAACCAAAACAGCATGGTACTCTTACAAAAATAGACATATAAACCAAGGGAACAGAATACAGAACCCTGAAATAAAGCCACACATCTACAGTCATCTGATTCTTGACAAATCAACAAAAATAAGCAAGGGTGAAAGCTCCTCTTATTCAATAAATGGTGCTGGAAAAATTGGCTAGCCATGTGCAAAAGATTAAAACTGGAACCCTACTTTTCACCATAAAACAAATTAACCCAAAATGGATTAAAGACTTAAACGTAAGACCTCTAATTGTCAAAATCCTAGAAGAAAAGCTGGGAAACTACTTTTTAGACATCAGCCTTGACAAAGAGTTTATGGCAATATCCTCAAAAGCAATTGCAACAAAAACAAAAGTTGACAATTGAGACCTAATTAAAGAGCTTCTGCAGGGCAAAAGAAAACTATCAACAGAGCGAACAGACAACCTACAAAATGGGAGAAAATATTCACAAACTATGCCTCTGACAAAGGACTAATATCTAGAATCTATAAGGAACTTAAATCAACAAGCAAAAAGCAAATAACCCCATTAAAAAGTGGGCAAAGGAGATGAAAAGACACTTCTCAAAGGAATGCATACAAGTAGCCAACAAACATGAAAACAAAAATGCTCAACATCACTAATCATCAGAGAAATGCAAATCAAAACCACAATAAAATACTAACTCATACCAGTCAGAATGGCTATTGTTAGAAAGTCAAAAAATAGCAGAAGTTGATGAGGCTGAGGAATAAAGGGAATGCTTATACACTGTATGAATGTAAACTACTTCTGCCACTGTGGGAAACAGTTGGGAGAGTTCTCAAAGAACTAAAAATAGAGCTACCATTCAACCCAGCAATCCCATTATTGGGTATATACCAAAAGGAAAATAAATTGCTCGACCAAAAAGAAACCTGCGCTCATATGTTTATCACAGCACTATTCACAACACTGAAAACATGGAATCAACCCAGGTGCCTATCAATGGTAAATTTGATAAATAAAATGTGATACATATATACCATGGGATACTATGCAGCCATAAAAAAAAGAATAAAATCATGTCCTTTGCAGAAACATGGATGCAGCTGGAAGTCATTATTCTAAGCAAATTAATGCAGAAACAGAAAACCAAATGTCACCTCTTCTCATAAAGCGGGAGTTAAATCTTGGGTACACATGAACAAAAACATGGGAACAGCAGACACTGGGGAGGGAAGGAGAGAGGTGGGTAAAGGCTGAAAAACTTCCTACTGGTTGCTATGTTTACTATATGGGTGATAGGATCAATCATATCCCAAACCTCAATTTCACACAATATATTCTTGTAGCAAATCTGCACATGTACCCCGACTCTAAAATAAAAATAGAAATTTTAAAAAAACTGTACATAGCACCTATCATTATCAAGTCTCCTTGCTTATTTCTTTACTTGCCATTGTTTGTCTCCACTCCTAGAATGCAAAATTTATATCACTGCATCCTTCTTACTTAAAACAGTGTCTGATACATAGCAAGAGAACAATAAATAAACATTAAAGGAATAGCAACTGAAGAAAGACAGTGATAAGAATAGTAGTTGTCCATGATACAAATGTTGGTTTTAGGATTCTCTTTAAAAACATACATAGCTGATTTCCAGTCTTACCAACTTCATGATAACAATGCAGCTGGTGTAACTTAATATATGCAAATAAATATAAATACTTCTGGAAAAAGTCAAGAAGTAAAGAAAACGTTCACAGGAGAGGATGAGAATATAGAGGTTTTGCTTATCACAGAGAGTAGTAAGAAAAGAAATGGAAATTGAGTCCAATGAGAGTAATAAAAGGGTAATGATAGTAGAGAATTGGTTTCTAGTGGTGGCTGAGGTATAATAGGATTAGTCCAGAAAGTCTCCTTGTGGAACATGGGCACTTGGTTCTATGCTTTGGTCTGCCACACATCAGGCATCTTCTTAGATAGCCCCCCAAGGAATGGCTGAAACTAGGGCATCTGTGATCATCAACTAAAAGATACCTAAATCTTTCTATGAGGTGTATGAGACTGCTATATTGACTATATGGTGATCTGTTTTCTTCTATATCAAAATGAAATGCTCTAACCTGAGAAAAACAGGTTACATGAAGAACTAAAACATATAGTTTTTAGTTTTCTGGGCTAAATATATGTTGCAAAAATACAAAACCATTTAAGAGCAAATTACAAATTTAATTATCACAAAACAACCAGCCCCTAAAATATCACCTTTTCAATATATTTTAAGTAGCCAGCGGTCCACCATTGCCATGAAAAATGGTACATCAAAGGTATTTAACATGCTGTAATTTATTCTCCACTTCCAGGTGACAATGACAAATTGCTCAAGTTCCCTCCTTGTTCTTTGCATCATCACTACATGTTTGAAAAATCGATATATCACTTGCAACCAAGGATTACAAATGCAGCCCACATCCTTTCACTTTCTTTTTTCTTTCCCCATCTATCAGAGCATTTCCCTCTAATCATTGCTTACCTGTTCTTTCCTCTCCATCTTTACTTGTTCTCTCCCTGAGACCATATTCCATCTTCTTCATGACCACCCCAATCTTTTACCTCACACTCAACAAAGCAATTCTTTACCCACCTTTATAATAGGTCAAGCTGCTAGCCATGAGGAGGCCACAGGGCCTGACTGGCATACATTGGGGCGAATGGAAAACCATCCTGGGAATCTAGGGTTTGGTAAGGAGCAAGATATCAGGAAAGAGGCATATGAGAAAGAAGACCATGGACAGGGCCTGAGCAGCACTAGACCGCAGGGTCAATCAGAGAGGTCAGGTGTATTATGATCCGAAGGCACATAAACACACCAGAAATAAAGAACAAGGTTGGTGATGTCTTTCATCTTTCTATGATTGTTTCTCCCTTCTATTATAAAATATGCACTGGCCATTCAAAGGATATAATAAAATAATAGACACCACTTTCCCTTTTCTCTCACAAATTCCCTTATAATCCCTGATAATTTTACATGCTTTCAGAATGTTAGCGCCTGATAAGTAAAACAAAATTTCAGTTTGGCCACAGACTCAAAGCAAGAAATAGGACTCCTTGAAGTTGATTTGAAATAAATATAGCTATATTTTTGCTGCTATAGCAACTATAAAATAGAACTATTTATTGACATATGCAGAAAACAACATAACATTTTATTAATACACAATTGAGATGTTCTTTACCTTTTTATGTTTACTTATTAATGGGTTATTAGTCATTATTAGAACATTTACATGATAGAGTAGTAATTAAAACAAAAAGAGAAATTGAATGCATCCTTTAGCTATAATAAAGGCTAATGTTTATTATGTGCCAGGTTTTCTGTTAGGCACTTGACAATTATCAGTTCATTTAATCCTCACAAAGCAATGTAGTATTGGAATTATCCTCATTTTACAGATGGGGAAATGGAGGGCGATTCAGAGAAATTGAGCATATTGTTAATAAGTGATACAGTCAGAATTAGTACCCAGACTGCCAAACAACTCACATTTGCCAAAAAGCAAAGATGCTTTTTACACTATTCCAGCATATCTCCCTACAATGACACCAAAGGAAACTTCAGAATTCAACAAACATAGCCTGAGGGCCTGCGGCATGCAATGCACACAGCAGAGTGTGCTGGAGATCATAAACATTTGTCAGAAACAAATGTTATCATCTAAAAGAAGAGATAAAACATGTATATAAACAGCTATAATAAAAGGCAGAAAGCCACAGTTATCAAAAAGAAATTCTTTGCATGTTAAGAGAAAGGGGGTTATTTCTGGTGGAGAGGATTAAATAAGACTTTAGGAAGGAAATGGACCTTAAAGTTTATAAAATTAATAGTTTTGCACCAACTACTTGCTCACTGACATTAGGAAGAAGTACCCATCTCGCATTCCACAAAGAACGTACAGTCATGTATCATTTAAGGATGAGGATACATTTTGAGAAATGTGGCATTAGGTGATTTCATCGTTGTATCAGCATCACTGAGTACACTTACACAAACCTAAATGGTACAGCCTACTACACACCTAGGTTATGGTATGGCCTATTGCTCCTAGGCTACAAACCTGCACAGAATGTTACTACACTGAATACTGTAGACGATTGTCTACAGTATTAACCATTTGCATGTCTAAACAGGGGAAAGGTGCAGTAAAAATACATCATTATAATCTTATGAGCCCACCATCATATACACAGCACTTCATTGACTGAAAGGTAATTAGGCAGTTCCTGACCACGTCTCATTTAGAAATTAGTTTCTAAAAATCCAGAGTGGTTCTACACCAATCCTAATCTGGTTTCTGTTTCTAAGAAATGTGTTTAAGTTAAACATCTAAAAAAAATTTCTGTGAAATTTTGAGCTTTGAGCTTAAAAGTCTGAAAACTTACACTCTGGATTCTGGTTACATGTGAAAAATACTTTTTAAATTATTGTCCACAGCATTGTTGCCTTTTTTCTAAGCTTTCGTTTTTCTGTACAGGATAAAACATTTTCTCATCTGAAAATATTTCCAAATAGACCCTTATTGCCTTAATCTGTTTTGTGTTGCTATTAGTATAACAGAATACTTCAGACTGGGTAATTTATTCAAAAATTAGAGATTTATTTGGCTCACAGTTCTGGAGGATGGGACATCCAAAGTCAAGGGGTCCCAATCTTGTGAGGGCCTTCTTGCTGTGTTATCCCATGGTGGAAAGCATCACAATGGTGAGAGAGCAAGAGCAGAGGGAGCCAAACTTACTTTGTATCAGGAATCCATTCCTGCAATAATAGCATTAATCCATTCATGAGGGCAGAGCCCTTGTAACCTAATCACCTCTTAATGGTCCCACCTCTTAATACTTAATGGGTAGGACATTCAAATATTAGTACATATTAATGTGGATCTTATTATCAGTATTAGGATTCTAATTTATTTATTTTGTAGACCTGAGGTCAGCCAACTTCAACAAAAATCCATCCTACCACTTGCTTTTATGAGATCTTATTGAAACACAGCTATGTCCGTTCATTTTCATATTATCTATGGCTCATGATACAATAGCAGAACTAAGCAATGTGACAGAGGCCATATAGCACTCAAAACCCAAAATAGTTACCATCTAACCTTTTACAGAGTTGCAGACCTTTGCCATAGACCATCCATTCACTCAGCAAGTATTTATTAAGAGCTTATAAGGGCAGGTGGCTGGTAGGTAGCTAGCATAGGTTGTTGGCTGAAAAACTGTAGCCTCATTAAACTAAGTTAAAAGTTAATTCATACTGAATTGTATTCTTCAATATAATTATCTTCACATACGAGAAAAAAACTTGAACAACTTTTCCTGTGGAAAAAAATGTACTAAGTGACTTGGAATGTAATATTACTAGGAGGTACTCTACTATTACTACTTACACTATTGAGTAACACTTATTGAGCATTTACTGTGTGCTCAACACTATTATAAACACTTAATATAAATAGTATATGTCATTATTCCTCACTACACCTCTAGGATGTAAGTGCTGTTACTATCCTCACTTTACAAATGGTGAAATTAAGACTCAAACCAATTAATTTCTGAGGTCACACAGCTTATATTTGTTAAAGCTGGGACTTTATAGAAGATGCTTTCATTCTTGGAGATATTAAAATAAGAGAGTGGATAACTTATTAAAAAGGTAAAATGGTGTACCTTTTTAAGGGGAGCAAAATATAAATAACTACCATTTACTGAGAGCCTACTATAGTTCTGTCATTATGCTATGTGCTTTAAAAACATTCTCTAATTTTTATATCAACCCTTCAAGGTAGGTATAAGTTCCCTCTTTTACAAGCAATGAAAAAATAATAGGTTATATGACTGACAAAAGGTACATACCTTGTAAGTTGCAAAACTAAGGTTAAAATTTAGATCTACCTGTCTTGTTCTAGAATACATGCTAAATTCTATTTTTTAAAAAATCCTAGGTGTATTTTTCTAATTCTTGAAACTGAACTGCACTTACAAATGAAAGCAACAGATGTTCAGCAGCTGAACAATGAAATATCAGATAGGACAAATAATGAAAATATAACCTACACAACTAAAATAGCAGAGAAAAATATAGAAATATGAAGCATATTTCTATATGTAAATACAGAATTTGTTCCTAATGGTAGCCAGGATTCAAATCAGAATAAGCTACAATAGAAATTTCTGAAGGCACTAAAATAATCTGAAATCTCATTAATTCATTCTCTAATAAAGCACTGATGCATTGACACTTAGCAGATATCTCTGTTGTAATCAGTTATCCCCGTTTCCATGGGAGAAGGGGACTGGTCAACCCATTTCCATATTTTTGCTGAAGAAACATCTAAAGATGTGAACAATACCCTTCTCTTAGATATGATTGAATAATAAAGAAAAAAAAAGAGGGGACTCTGGGCTTTAGGACCAAAGAGAAATAAGTTGGTATATTCACCTCTGCTGCTTCATAACTGTGTCACCACAACAAGCTAATTGACTTCTCTGTAACTGAGTTTTCTCATTTAAAAGGATGTTTATGAGAGATGCTGTAGAAAAGCATCAGGCATGCCCTCTTAAAACACATCTAAGGGAATTATTATTCTTTCAGTTGTAATCACTTTTCTCAAGGAAGATCTTTAAGAGAAAATATTTTCTCACTTATTCCCTTTCCTAGTGGGGAGTAACAGGAGCAAGACTCACTGTGTGATGCCCCGCGTTGCCTTGGGACTCTACAGCACGTCCTTACCAGCAAGAAGGCTCTCACCAGCTCTGGCCCCTTGACCTTTGATATGTTTGGCTGTCTCTCCACCCAAATCTCATCTTGAATTGTAGTTCCTACAATTCCCATGTGTCATGGGAGGGACCCAGTGGGAGGTAATTGAATCATGGGAGCGGGTCTTTCCCATGCTTTTCTCATGATAGTGAATAAGTCTCAAGAGAGCTGATGGCTTTATAAAGGGGAGTTCTCCTGTACATGCTCTCTTGCCTCATGTCTCATGTAAGACATGACTTTGCTCCTCATTCGCCCTCCACCTTGATTGTGAGGCCTCCCCAGCCATGTGGAACTATGAGTCAATTAAACCTCTCTCCTTTATAAATTACCCAGTCTCGGGTATGTCTTTATTAGCAGTGAGGGAACAAACTTATCCAATCTTGGACTTCTCAGCCTCCAGAACCATAAAATACAAATTTATTTTCTTTATAAATTCCCCAGTTTCAGGTATTCTGTTATAAGTAACAGAAAATGAATTAATACAGAAAATTGTTACCGAGAAGTGGAGTGTTGCTGATAATGAATAACTAAAATTGTGGAAGCAGCTTTGGAACTAGATAATGGGCAGAAGCTGGAAGAATTTGGAGGAGCAGGCTAGAAAAAGCCTAGATTCTGGTGAGGGTTTAGAAGACAAGACAACTAGGGAAAGTTTGGAAGTCCTTAGAGATTGGTTAAGTAGTCATGACCAGAGTGCTGATAGAAATATGCACAGTAAAGGCCATTTCGATGAGGTTTCAAATGTAACTGAGGAACAAGGGAGTGGAAACCAGAGCAAAGGTCATTCTTGTCATAAATGGGCAAAGAACTTGGCTGAACTATGTTAATGCTGAGGGCTTTGGGGAAGGCAAAAATCAACAGTGATGAACTAGAGTATGTGGCAGAAGAAATTTCTAAGTAAAACATAAAAGTTGCTGCATGGTTACTTTTGGCTGCTTACACTGAGAATTGAAAGCAAATAATAACTTAAAGAAAGAATTTATAATCAAGAGAGAAGGAGAATTGAAAGATTTGGAAAATGCTCAGCCTAACCACATAAAGAATGAAAAAATGTGTTCAGGAGAGGAAACCAAGGGTGTAGCCCAGTGACCACTTGCAAAAGAGATTACTACACACAAAAGGGAGCCAGGTGCTATTCCTCAAGAAAATGGAAGAAAGACCCAGAAAGCATTTCAGAAATCTTCAAGGCTCTCCCATCACAGGCTCAAAGGCTGAGGAGAGTAGAGTGGTTTCACGGGACAGGCCTGGGGTGCTCATTGCCCAGGTCCAACTTGTGACTTTGCTCCCCACACCCTTGCATGGTGCTCCATGGTTGCCCCAGCCATGGCTTAAGTGGTCCCAGGTGCAGATCATGCCACAGTTCCTGATGGTACAAGTCATAAACTATAGCAACATCCATATAATGTTAATTCTGTAGGCTTGCAGAAAACAAGAGCTGTGGAGGCTTGGCAGCCTCCACCCAGATTTCAAAGAATGTCATCAAAAGCCTGGGGTCTCAGGCACAGACTTGTTACAGGAAAGGAGTGACCACAGACAGCCCCTGCTAGAGCAAGAAAAAGTGGAAATGTGGGGTTGGAGCTGCTGCAGAGAATCCTCACTGCATAGGGCAGTACCTAGTGGAGCCATAGGAGCAAAACCACCACCAAAATGCCAGAACTATACAGCTGCCAGCATGCAATCCTAGTCGAGGAGAGCTGAAGCATGAGCTAAGCCCAGGAAAGCCACAAAGGCAGGGTTTTTCAAGGCCTTGGGGACTTAACCCCCACATCAGTTTGTGCAGAATGCTAGTCATGGAGTCAAAGGAGATTATTCCTCACCCTTAGATTTAATGTCTGCCCTCTTGGGTTTCAGACTTGTTTGGGGCCTGTTACTCCTTTCTTTTGGCCTGTGTCTTCCTTTTCTTTCTATATATATATATATATATATATATATATATATATATATATTTTAATTATACTTTAAGTTCTAGGGTACATGTGCACAATGTGCAGGTTTGTTACATATGTATACATGTGCCATGTTGGTGTCCTGCACCCAGTAACTCGTCATTTACATCAGGTATATCTCCTAATGCTATCCCTCCCCCCTCCCCCCACCCCACCACAGGCCCCAGTGTGTGATGTTCCCCTTCCTGTGTCCAAGTGTTCTCATTGTTCAACTTCCACCTATGAGTGAGAACATGCCATGTTTGGTTTTTGTCCTTGCAATAGTTTGCTGAGAATGATGGTTTCCAGCTTCATCCATGTCCCTACAAAGGACATGAACTCATCATTTTTTATGTCTGCATAGTATTCCATGGTGTATATGTGCCACATTTTCTTAATCCAGTCTATCATTGTTGGACATTTGGGTTGGTTCCAAGTCTTTGCTATTGTGAATAGTGCCGCAATAAACATACGTGTGCATGTGTCTGTACTACAAGGCTACAGTAACTAAAACAGCATGGTACTGGTACCAAAACAGAGATACAGACCAACGGAACAGAACAGAGCCCTCAGAAATAATACCACACATCTACAACTATCTGATCTTTGACAAGCCTGACAAAAACAAGAAATGGGGAAAGGATTCCCTATTTAATAAATGGTGCTGGGAAAACTGGCTAGCCATATATAGAAAGCTGAAACTGGATCCCTTCCTTACACCTTATACAAAAATTAATTCGAGATGGATTAAAGACTTAAATGTTAGACCTAAAACCATAAAAATCCTAGAAGAAAACCTAGGCAATACCATTCAGGACATAGGCATGGGCAAGGACTTCATGTCTAAAACACCAAAAGCAATGGCAATAAAAGCCAAAATTGACAAATGGGATCTAATTAAACTAAAGAGCTTCTGCACAGCAAAAGAAACTACCATCAGAGTGAACAGGCAACCTAAAGAATGGGAGAAAAATTTTGCAATCTACTCATCTGACAAAGGGCTAATATCTAGAATCTACAAAGAACTCAAACAAATTTACAAGAAAAAAACAACCCCATCAACAAGTGGGCGAAGGATATGAACAGACACTTCTCAAAAGAAGACATTTATGAAGCCAACAGACACTGTGTCTTCCTTTTCTAATGGAAATGTCTACCATATGCCTGTATAACACCACTGTATCTTGAATGTAGGTAGCTTGTTTTGATATCATGAGACTATGAATTTTGGACATTTGGGTTGGTGCTGGAACAAGTTAAGAATTTGGGGCTATGATGTGGAAGAAATGGATTTTTATGTGAGAAGGACATCAGTTTTGGAGGGCCAGAAGCAATATACTATGGTTTGAATATTTTCCCATTTCAAAACTCATGTTGAAATTTAATCTCCAATGTGGCAGTATTGAGAGAAGAGGCATTTAAGAGGTGTTGGGTCATGAGAACAGAGCCCTCATGAATGGATTAATACATTCATCAATTAATAGATGAATGAGTTAATGGATTAATGGGCTATCATGGGAGTGGGACTGGTGGCTTTATAAGAAGAGGAAGAGAGACCTGAGAGAGCACATTCAGCCCCCTCACCATGTGAGGCCCTGCACCACCTTGGGTCTCTACAGAGTTCTCAGAAGGCTCTCACCAGATGTAGCCCCTTGACCTTGGACTTCTCAACCTCAGAACTATAAAAAATATATTACTTTTCTTTATAAATTACCCAGTTTCAAGTGTTCTGATATAAACAACAGAAAATAGGCTAATATATCTATTTAATGCATAAAAAGAGACTTGAAAACAGAAATTTATACCATGTCCCTGAGTAAAATATTAAATGTTGTAAAATGCTAATTTTATCCTAAATAATCTCTAAATTTGCTATTCTTCCAATCAAAATCTCAACAGGTAAAATCTAAAACTGTAAAACTCTTAGAAGAAAGCAGAAAAGCTTTATGACATTGGATTTGGCAATGATTGCTGGGTTATAATAACACTAAAAGCACAAGCAACAAAAGTAAAAATTAGATAAATTGGACTACATCAACCTTTAAAACTGTGCGTCAAGGGGACACAATCAACAGAGTAAAAAGGCAATCTATGAAATGGGAGAAAATACTCTTAAATCACGTATATAAAGTGATTAATATCCAGAATATATAAGAAACTCCTACAACTCAACAAAATAACCCAGTTAAAAAATAGAAAAAAGACTTGAATAGACACTTTTCCAGAGAAGATATACAAATGGTCAACAAGCACATGAAAAGATGCCCAACATCACTAATCATTAGGGAAATGCAAATCAAAACCACAAAGAGATGTTACTTCACAACCATCAGGATGGCTACTATCAAAAAAGCTAAGTAAGTGTTGGCTAGGATGTGAAGAAATTGGAATCCTTGTGTATCATTGGTGGAAATTTAAAATGATGCAGCCACTATGGAAAACAGCACTGCAGTTCCTCTTAAAATTAGAAATAGAATTACCATAAGATCCAGCAACTTTACTGCTTGGTATGCATCCAAAAGAATTAAAAACAGAATCAAAGAGATATTTCCAAACCCATATTATAGAAGCATTTTTCACAACAGCCAAAAGGTGGAGGCAACCTAAGTGTTCACTGACAAATGAATGGATCAACAAAATATGGTATATACACACAATGGAATATTATTCAGCCTTAAAAAGAAAAATCGTGTCATATGCCACAACATAGATGAATCTTGAGAACATTATGCTAAGTGAAATAAGCCAGTCACAAAAAGATAAATATTGTATGATTCCACTTAGTTGAGGTATCTAGAGTAGTCAAATTCCTAGAAATAAAAAGTAGAATGGTGGTTGCCATTGACAGATAGGGGGAGGAATAAATAGAAAGTTTTGTTTAATGGGTACAGAGTTTCAGATTTCCATAATAAAAAAACTTTGGAGACTGATTAGACAATAACATGAATACAATTACCACTATTGAACTGTACACTTTAAAAATAGTTAATATGGAAAATTCTATGTTACGTGTATCTTCACAATTTTTTTTAAAGTTCAGTAGGGTAATTATGCAAATGTAACATTTAAAATCAATAGAGGAAGCTGGATTATTCGATAAATGATGCTAGGACAACTGATCATTAATTTGGGGGTAGGAAGGAACCATAGATAAATTATAAATCTGAAAATAAATAAAACTATACGAAGAAAATAAGGTAAAATATTTTATAATTGTGGGGCTGGTCAAGGTCAGCCTAAGCAAGATACAAAATCCAGAAGCTTTAAGTAAATACACAGATAGAACACTTCATAAAAATTAAAACTTTTACACCACAAAAAAAAGATAAATACCAAGAAACAGGCTGGAAAAATACTTTTAAAATATTTTTAACAGACAAAGTCTGTTAAATATATTTGATCTAGAATATACAGTCTAGAATATAGAATTCTGTTTGGTCTAGAATATACAGTCAATTCTTGCTTTCACAGTAATTTTATTCAATAAAGCCACCATGAACACCAAGTTAGTAAATACTAAATCATTGCTCCTAAGAGAATGCAGGTTTAGATTCCTGGAGCCTCTGGTCACAATATTTTTATCAACTGATCAATACAAAATCTTGTTTTGTATATGCTTCTGTTTAAAGACAACTTATTTAACATATATTGTTGATTTATTAACATTGAACTCACAGCCATGAGTTCCACAATATAACTCATACCTCAGTGAAGCTTATCTGACACATAGATTTTCTCCATAAGCTACATCACTAGTGTTTCTTATGCCTCTAGAAACACTAGAAAGTACTTCAGCACTACACTGGAGGCCATTTTAAACAGTGAAATGCCCAAGGAAAACCAGAAAATTTTTTTTAAAAAACTGGCACTAAATAGAATATGAAAAGGACACTTGTTTCTTGTTTACAGTATGAGAACTGAAACAAGAAGGCAGAGTGTTGTCTTGTTCAACCTCAACTGGGACTCAACTGGGAACATGTGCAATTTTCCACTGCTCTGTGCACGTCCATGAATGAGAAGAACCATGAAAACAAAGAACCATTTATGATTACAAATTTTAGCAAATAAGTGAATTTCCAAATATGGCATCCACTAGTAATAAGAATTTAATGTTTTAAAATACACTTCAAAATCAATTCTTTGAAAAATATAAGAAGTAAAAATAATTTGATTCACATGAGAAAAAATACAATTGCCTCAAAAATCTAAAGGGAAACAAAAGTTCCTTCTCACTAATAATCAGGAAAATGTGACTTCAGTCAACAGTGATGATGATGGCCGGGTGTGGTGGCTCACACCTGTAATCCTTGCACTTTGGGAGGCCAAGGTGGGTGGATCATTTGAGGTCAGGAGTTCAAGATCAGCCTGACCAACATAGTGAAACCCTGTCTCTACTAAAAATACAAAAAAGAAAATTAGCTGGGCATGTTGGCACATGCCTGTAGTCCCAGCTACTCAGGAGGCTGAGGCAGGAGAATCACTTTAACCTGGGAGGCGGAGTTTGCCAAGATCGTGCCACTGCACTCCAGCTTGGGCAGCAAAGTGAGACTCCATCTCAGAAAATAGTAATAATAATAATTGATACCTCTGATATGGTTTGGCTGTGTCCCCACCCAAATCTCATATTGGATTATAGTTCCCATAATCCCCATGTGTGATGGTTAATACTGAATGTCAACTCGATTGGATTGAAGGATGCAAAGTATTGATCCTGGGTGTGTCTGTGAGGGTGTTGCCAAAGGAGATTAACATTTGAGTCAGTGAGCTGGGAAAGGCAGACCCACCCTTAATCTGGGCAGGCGCAATCTAATCAGCTGCCAGTGCAGCTAGGATAAAAGCAGGCAGAAGAACGTGAAAAGAATATGCTGGCTTAGCCTCCCAGCCTACATTTTTCTTTCATGCTGGATGCTTCCTGCCCTCAAACATCAGACTTCAAGTTCTTCAGCTTTGGGATTCAGACTGGATTCCTTGCTCCTCAGCTTGCAGCCTATTGTGGGGCCTTGTGATCATGTGAGTTTAACACTCCTTAATAAACTCCCCTTTCTATATATATATAATATATATATAATATATATATACACACACATACACATACACGGAGAGAGAGAGAGAGACATAAAGAGAGAAAAAAAGAGAGAGAGATCCTGTTAGTTCTGTCCCTCTAGACAACCCTAATACACCATGTGTCATGGGAGGGACCTGGTGGGAGGTAATTAAATCACGGGGATGGTTACCCCCATCCTGCTTTTCTCTGACAGTGAGTGAGTTCTCATGAGATCTGATGGTTTATAAGGGTATTTTTCCCCCTTTGCTTGGCACTTCTTTCTCCTGCTGCCATGTGAAGAAGAACATATTTGTTTCCCTTTCTGCCACGAACTAATATAGTAAATTGGTAACACAGAGAGTGGGGGACTGCTATAAAGACACACGAAAATGTGAAAGCGACTTTGGAACTGGGTAACCGGCAGAGGTTGGAACAGTTTCGAGGGCCCAGAAGACAGGAAAATGTGGGAAAGTCTGCAACTTCCTAGAGACTTGAGGGCTCAGAAGACAGGAAGATATGGGGAAGTTTGGAGCTTCCTAGAGACTTGCTGAATGGCTTTGGTCAAAATGTTGATAGTGATGGACAATGAAGTCCAGGCTGAGGTGTCTCAGATGGAGATGAGGAACTTGTTGGGAACTGCAATAAAGGTGATTCTTGCTATGCTTTAGCAAAGAGACTGGTAGCATTTTGCTCCTGTCCTAGAGATTTGTAGAACTTTGAATGTGAGAGAGATGATTTAGGGTATCTGGTGGAAGAAATTTCTAAGCAGCAAAGCATTCAAGAGGAAAGAGAGCATAAAAGTTTAGAATATTTGCAGCCTGACAATGTGGTAGAAGAGAAAAACCCATTTTCTGGGGAGAAATCAAGTGACTGCAGAAATTCACATAAGTCACAAGGAACCAAATGTTAATCACCAAGACAATGGGGAAAATGTCTTCAGGGCATGTCAGAGACATTCACAGCAGCCCCTCCAATCACAGGTCCTGAGACCTAGGAGGGAAAATACGGTTTCCTGAGCTGGGTCCAGGGTCCCCCGTGCTGCCTCACAACTTGGCGCCCTGCATCCCAGCCACTCCAGCCCTGGTCTAAAAGGTGCCAAGGTACAGCTCGGGCCATATCTTCAGAGGGTGCAAGCCCCAAGCCTTGGTGGCTTCCATGTGGTGTTGGTCCTGCAGGTCCAACAGAAGACAAGAATTGAGGTTTGGGAACCTTTGCCTAGATTTCAGAGGATGCATGGAAATGCCTGGATGTCCAGGCAGAAGTTTGCTCTAGGGGCAGAGTCCTCATGGAGAACCTCTGATAGGGCAGTGTGAAAGGGAAATGTGGGGTTGGAGCCCCCAAACAGAGTCCCCACTGGGGGACTACCTAGTAGAGATTGTTTTAGAACTTAAAGGTTTAATGACTACCCTATTGGATTTCAGACTTGCACGGGGCCTGTAGCCCCTTTGTTTTGGCCAATTTCTCCCTTTTGAAACAGGTGTATTTACCCAGTATCTGTATCCCCATTGTATACAGGAAGTAACTAACTTGCTTTTGATTTTACAGGCTCATAAGCAGAAGAAACTTGCCTTGTCTCAGGTAAGACTTTGGACTGTGGACTTTTGAGTAAATGCTGAAATGAGTTAAGACTTTGGGGGACTGCTGGAAAGGCATAATTGATTTGAAATGTGAGAACATGATATTTGGGAGGTACCAGGGGTGGAATGATATGGTTTGCTTGTGTCCCCACCAAAATCTCATCGTGGATTTTAGTTCCCACAACCCCCACGTCATGGGAGGGACCCAGTTGGAGGCAATTGGATCAGGGACAGTTACCCCCATCCTGCTGTTCTCATAATAGTGAATGAGTTCTCACGAGATCTGATGGTTTTAAAAGGGGCATTTCCCCCTTTGCTCGGCACTTCTTTCTCCTGCCGCCATATGAAGGATGTGTTTGCTTCCCTTCAATCTTGATTGTAAGTTTCCTGAGGCATCCCCAGCCCAGCAGAGCTGTGAGTCAATTGAACCTCTTTCCTTTATAAATTACCCAGTCTTGGGCAGTTCTTCATAGCAGAGTGATAACTTACTAGAACAACCTCTTAACAAAAATGGTCAGATAGGCTGGGCATGGTGGCTCACATCTGTAATCCCAGCACTTTGGTAGGCCAAGGTGGGCGGACTACCTGAGGTCAGCAGTTCAAGACCAGCCTGGCCAACACAGTGAAACCCCATCTCTACTGAAAATACAAAAATTAGCCAGGAGTGGTGGTGAGCACCTATCATCCCAGCTACTTGGGAGGCCGAGGCAGGCGAATTACTTGAACCCGGGAGGCAGAGGTTGCAGTGAGCCAAGATTGTGCCACTGCACTCCAGCCTGGGTGAGAGAGCAAAACTCCATCTCAAAATAAATAAATAACTTAATTAATTAAAATAAAATAAAATTAGACAAAAACGATCATACAAACAATTCATCCCACACTGTCTTCAGCTGTCCGTACTTCATCCTCCTTGTAGAGCAATTTTGATGATTCAAGACAAGTGAATCAAAAATACCTAAAATGATGTTGCTATGGTTTGAGTGTCCCCCCACAAAACTCATTTTGAAATTTAACTGCTATTTTAATAATATTAAAAGGTGAGACTATTAAAAGATAATTAGACCATGAGGACTTTGCCCTCATGAATGGATAAATGTCATTATTCTTGGAGTGTGTTTGCTATGAAAGGATGAGTTCAACCGTCTCTCATTCTCTTGACCTCTCTTACCCTCTCACCTTCTGCCTTGGGATGATGTAGGAAGAAAGCCCTTGACAGATGCCAGCACCCTGATATTAGACTTCCCAGCCTTCGAAACTGTGAGAAGTAAATTTCTTTTCTTTATAAATTATCCAGTCGGTGGTATTCTGTTACAGCAGCACAAAATGGACTAAGACAGGTATGGATTGAAATGAAAAATGAACGGATGAGTGGGTAGGTAGATGGATGGATGAATGGATCAATGGATAAATTGGTTGAATGAGTAATGAATGGACAGATGCAAGCAATAACTTGCAAACTATTCTACAGGAACTCATGGTGCCATAAGGAGTCATTACGACTTTTTACAACTTATGGCATTTATTTTTTCAGAAAATATAAAATCTTTATTAGAAAAATTAGATCTGCTTGTCATAAATAATTCAAACAATGTTTAAGTATATAAAGCAGGAAGTTAAAGTCTCCCTTGAATCTTAAGCCTTAGAAATAACCACTATAGCTGTATACTATACATACTTCCAGATTTTCTGAGCACATACAAATTAACATTGCACATATTAGAATGCACTTATTATATGAAGTTGTTTTATACTATACATACTGCCAATCCTACCAAAACTGACAGAGTGATGTCTCTGAAGGCCACAAACAAAACAATTTTTAAAAATGTGCGTTTGTATTGTAAATAATTTATAGAGAATCTTGCATTTATATTGAAAGAGCTTCATAACAATCCTACAAACAAACAGGAACTAGCGTCCTCATTTTAAAGAAGCAGCAGCAGAGGGTGAGTTACTTGCCCAAGATTTTATGGCCAACAAATAATAGTCAGGCCAATTACTTTAACTAAATTATAAAGTTTCTCAGAGCAGAAACCACACATAATTCCAGTTTTGTATCATTTACAGTACCTGGCACAAAATTATAAACAGGTATGAGGAGGGTATGATGTTTATATTGCTTACTGCTCTATGCCACACATATAACAAATGGTCAATAAACATCTGTGAAACAAATGGATGGAAAGATGTATAAAAGAAGAGGAAATGGGAAGAGATTCTAAATGAACTAAGATACTTATCAAACCATCATTTTTTCAATTTGGACAATAATAAATACGTTTAGCAGCTCATCCACTCCGTAAGCATAATACAACATGATAACCAATATCATTGATATCAATATCAAAATGATATCAATTGAATATACTCTAGATAAGAGTGACATCAACAATTACTGATTTCCTCTTTAACAGTGAAATGCCATAGTAAAAAATATTGAACAGTAGACACTATACACCCTTATTGTTGCTAAAAGAAGCTATTCCGTCTATTTTTTTAATTTTATATCAAATATTCACATGGAATTTGGCTCAAACACAATAGATATGCAAACTATAAAAGTATAAATAGTCCATAGGGACTATGGGAAAGTATAAATAGTCCATAGAATTACTGTGAAATATAAGTGAGACAAGGAACGTTAAGTGCTTATCACTGCACTTGGAATGTGGTAGGTACTCAATAAGTGTTAGATATCATTATTAACATCACTATTAACATCATCATCATAAGGCTTTCCTAAAATGATTAAAAAATTGAGGCTTTCCAAAGGCAAAATTATAGTTCATTTATTTTAAAAGTTATAAAAATAACTGCACAAAACAATAAAAATCTAGATCACACAAATGCTTGACAGGAAAGCTGAAATGCATTTTTCTGTAAAATAAATATATGTCCCATCTTCTGCCTAGATGCAGACTACAGGCATATTCTCCTTGAGTGCATCTATGAGAGATGAAATGTCTACTGACCTAATTTCTGTAGCTATTGTATCTGTTTCTTACAGCCACTGTAACAAACCGCCACAAACTTAGTATTATAGCTTAAAATAACAAAATATGTTTTCTGACAGTTATTGGGATCAAAAGTTTAAAAGACATTTCACAGGGCTAAAATTAAGGTGTTAGCAGGGCTGGTTACTTCTGGAGGCTCTAAAAGAGAATCTAGGGGGCATGGTGGCTTATGTCTGTAATTCCAGCACTTTGGGAGGCCGAGGCAGGTGAATCACCTGAGGTCAGGAGTTCAAGACAAGACAGGCCAACATGGTGAAACCCCATCTCTACTAAAAATACAAAAAATTAGCTGGGCGTGGTGATGCATGCCTGTAATCCCAGCTACTCAGGAGGCTGAGGCAGGAGAACTGCTTGAACCCAGGAGGCAGAGGTTGCAGTGAGCCA
Organism: Homo sapiens; assembly: GCF_000001405.40. Lineage (NCBI taxonomy): Eukaryota > Metazoa > Chordata > Mammalia > Primates > Hominidae > Homo > Homo sapiens. The sequence goes on from NC_000012.12 coordinate 99,642,767, forward strand.
GGATGGCAACAGAGCAAGACAACATCTCAAATAAGTAAATTTATAAATAAATAAAAATAAAAGAGAATCTGTTCCCTGCCTTTTTCAACTTCAAGGGGCCACCTGTATTCCTTGGCTCATAGCCTCTTCCTCCATCTTCAAAGCTAGCAATGTAACATCTTCAAATCTCTGCTTTCCTCATCATATCACACTATAAGTACCTTCATAATTACATTGGGCACACATTGATAATCCAGGATAATCCCCCCCCATCATAAGATCCTTTAGTTAACAATATATGTCCCTTTTGTCATATACAGTAACATATTCATAGGCTCTACATACTAGAATTTAGACATTTGGGGAGGAGCATTATGCTGTCTTTATCACAGTACATCCTCTGGACACCAAATAATCACATTCTTCCACATATAAAATCCATTCATGCCATCTCAACGTCCCATAAATCTTAACCCATTACACAACATCAACTTAAACTCAAAATCTCAAAAACTCAAAAGTCCCAAATTTCCTCATATAAATCAAGCATGAGTCAGACGCATCTGTGAATCTGTGAAACTGGAATAAAAAGTTATTCGCTCCTAAAATTCAATGATATGACAAGTGTAGCGAAACAATTATAGATATCCCCAACCAAAGAGAGAGAAATGAAAAATAAAAAGTGAGTCAACAGTCCGAAGCAATTCAGAACTGCAACTGGGCAAACTCCATTAGGTTTCAAGCCCTGGGAATAATCCTTTGGAGTTCTCAGCTCTACCCTCTCGGGCCTCAGTCCCATCCTCTGAGTCCTCCTTTCTATTCCATAAAGGTTAACTTATGTTTGCAAACTCAGTAGTTTCATAAGCCTATTTCCTGCCTGCAGAATTTCAGGAATCCAACAGCCTTCTTTCATTTTATCCTCTGTCCCTTTAAGTCCAAGCTACCAAAGTCTCCGCTAATAAACCATTCATGAAAACACTGTGGGTCTCCCAGGTATGTCACAAGAATTTCCTGGATAATCCCAACTCTGAATCCCATCTCAGCGTAATTCATCTCATCATAATTCAGATCTGCTCAATCTCTTCAAAGAGCCCTCTGTGTGGTTGAATAATCTCAGTTTTTGATCCTCCTGAGGCACTAGAAACAAGTTATCTAGCCATGCTTTCAGCTTTCTCTCTAAGTACACTTCTTGACAGTGAATCTAAAAATTTCAGTGTTTTTTGCAATCTGGATAGATTGAGAATGTTCCAACCATCAAGTCCTGGTTTCTTTGAGTTTAAATGTTCTTCTCACAATTTATCTCTTTCCTCCTCCCACATTTCAGTATAGGCAACAAGAGGAAACCAGGCCATACCTCCAACACTTTATCTAGAAATCTACTCAGCAAAATATCCAAGTTCATCACCTACTAGATCTGCTTTGCACATAACCATAGAATATAATTCCTCTAGACTATCTGCTATTATATAGCAAGTATCTCCTTTCCTCCAGTTTTCAATAACATGTTTCCTATTTATTTCTGAGTCCTTATCAGAAGCACCTTTAACATTCATATGTTTATTAACATTCTCTCTACAATGATTTAGGTATTCTCTAAGATCATACAAGTTCTCTCTACCATTTCCCCCGCTTTCTTCTGAACCCTCACAGTAGTGACTTTAACATCCTCGTTTGTATAAACATTATGTTTATGACAATTAGGTAATCTCTAAGAAAATACAGGTTTTCTCTACCATATCACTTCTTTCTGAGCCCTTATTAGCGGCATCTTTAATGTCCATATTTCTGTTCAAGGCAATCTAAGCTCTTTACATCATGCTCCTCAAAATTCTTCTAGCTTCTACCCAGTGCCCAATTCCAAAGCCATTTCTATATTTTTATGCACCTGTTACAGCAGCACTCCACTTCCAGGTACCAAAATGTGGAATAGTTTCCTAGGGCTACCATTACAAATTACCACAAACTTAGTTGCTTATAACAACACAAATTTATTCTCTCATAGTTCTCAAGGTCAAAGTCTAAAATGATTCTCTCTGGGCTAAAGTTAAGGTATTGGCAGGGCTATCTCCTTCTGGAGGCTCACAGGGAGAATCCACTTCCTGTTTTTTCAGCTTCCAGAGGCCTCTTGCATTCCTTTGGTCCATGGCTGCACCACTCTGACCTCTACTTCCATCATCACATATCTTCTGACTCTGACCCTGCTGCCTTTCTCTTACAAAGACCACTGTGATTACACCGGACCCCCAACGTAATCCAGATAACACCCCCAATTCAGATCCTAAACTGAATCACATCTGCAAAGTTCCTCTGCCACATAAGGTAATATATTCACAGGTTGTGAAGATTATAATGTAAATATCTTTTGGGGGAATTATTCTGTAAACCACAGCCATGTTCATTATTAACTGATTTCTGTTTAAAATACTTAACCCATATTTTCAATTACATAGTTTTAAGCACTAACACCGCTGATTGCCTATCTTACTGAACTAATATCTTGCCATTTCCTCATTTCAAACGTTGGTTCTTTTAAAAGTTTTGGGAAGACGAAATTTAGCAAGAGAATAAAATCATATATTGAATTAAACAATTCCCAGAGCAGTTATACGAATAATATCTCGATTCATTGTTATGGTTCAGAGTATCTCCAAAGTATGTAGTAGTTTTGTTGTTGGGAGAGAGGGGGAAAGCTAAAGCCCTATCACAAAACCGTAACTATTCTGGAGTTGAAAGATAGCTCAGGGGTCATCTCCATTTCAAGGCTGAGAAAAATAAGGCCCAGAGAGGTTAAATTATTAACCCAATGACATAAACTCCAACAGAGAGGAGAGAGTATATAAATTTATTTTAATATATCTAGTGACTAACTATATAGAAATCTGATTTAACAGCAACCACACAGAAAGCTGCTGCATTTTCATAAAAGGAATTTCTTAATCTCAAGTTCAGGTAGTTTTTTATTTAGCTATCTGAGCTTCTCAAGTCTTGAGGCAAATGCTAAAAAGGTAGTTTTCTAAACAGCTAGAGGAATTTCAGACAAACCCCATCAAATTCATAAAAATAGGTATTTGCCAGAATGCTACATAGGATGGTTATCAAGCCAAATGAAAGAGGTTCCACCGTTGTCAGTCTACTGACTGGTGTGGAAAATCCAAACATCTATAGGCTCTATAAGTAATGTAGTTTCTGGCTTCCTTGGAGACCAGCGCTCTAATGGAACTCTAAGACAAATATCTTGTCATATATGTGTATAGCAAAAAAGTACTTTTAAGAAAATCAGTAAAAAAAAAAAAAAAAGGCACTTAAATTAAATTTTGCTGTGTCCAATACTACCAATCCTGTTATCCCTTATGAAAAACATCAGAACCACTTGGACACTTTTAAAACGTTATTTTACTAAATGTGTATTTGGTTTCTTGGTTTTGCCAATTACAAGATAAGTAACATAGACTTGAAGTGGAAGTTAAGATATAAAGACTTTAGGAAGGGCAGTAAAAAGTGCTATTGATATGTGAATAGGCATCTCAATAAATAAAATAAAAATACTCCAAGTATCCAAAATAATCAAACATTTCAATATGAAAGGAAGAAATTATGTTTGCATTGACTTATGCAACTAAAGACTCAAGTGGGCTGGGCACGGTGGCTCACACCTGTAATCCCAGCACTTGGGGGGCCAAGGCGGGCGAATCACGAGGTCAGGAGTTCGAGACCAGCCTGAGCAATATGGTGAAACCCCATCTCTACTAAAAATACAAATTAGCCGGGCGTGGTGGCACACGCCTGTAGTCCCAGCTACTAGGAAAGCTGATGCAGGAGAATCACTTGAACCCAGGAGGCGGAGGTTGCAGTGAGCCAAGATCACGCCACTGATTCCAGCCCGGGTGACAGAGTGAGACTCCATCTCAAAAAAAAAAAAAAAAAAAAAAAAAAAGACTCAACTATGGCTATGGCTCTGTGTGTGTGTGTGTGTTTGTGTTCACATGGGTTATCATGTGTACTGTCATTTCAATAAAGATATTATAATCTTATTGAATTGAAAATATTTGCAATACCTAGCAAAATTCTTTACAGCTTTTTTTTTTCTCAATACAATCTGATGGTAAAGAATAGAGCATAAATGTGATGTTTAAGGCTCTTTTCATTCCATAGCCAGGGTATGAATGTCTAGGTAAAACTCAAAAATTGCATCAACAGTTTGAGGGTGAGTCAAAACATAAAATTTATCATGGCTATAGAAACAGAAAAAAAAAAATACATTGCCAATAAAATAGTTATTTCCCCTGGTAACAGAAATAAATTTCCTAATAAAAATAGAAGTTAAAAAGAAAATGAAAATTATACCTAAGCACTTTAAACATTTCACTGAACATAATTCCATATCCACAAACACATACACGTGGTCTTACATAAATTGAATCTCACCTATACTATGAGTTTGAAATCAGTTTTTCTCTTATTCTTTAAGAAAAAAAAAGGTCAGGGATATCTTTTCATGTCAATAAATAGGAAAACTACGTAATCATTTTTAGGGCTGCAGACTGTCCCGTCACAGAAGCTCCATAATTTATTTAAGCAATCCCCTATTGTAAGACACTAATGCTGTTTATAATTTTTTACTCTACAACAAACATTGATAAACATCCTGTACCAATCTGTTTACCAATTTATCCAATTCTCTCTTTAAAATAAATGTCTACAACTAGAGGAGCTGGATAAATGAGTATACAGAGAATGTATATTAAACTCTTGCCTTGCACAGAAAATTTACCTCTAACCCTTTTGAAAGCAATTTGCCAGAATGCATTAAGGTCCCTAGATGGTAGGTTGGTGGCGGGGTAGTGGTCTGCTGAGCTGTGGAGGGCGGTGGGGCTGAGGGTGGGGTGGAGAGGGCGGTGCCCCTGCTCTGAGGCAGGGACTACTGGGTGACAGAGACAAAGGGGTGTGTGATGGGGCAGGTCACAATGGGTAGGGGAGGATAAAAGTGGTCCTGCGGGGTGGTTTAGCAGCAGTGGATGGTTCAGGTTGGGAAGAAGAGCAGTGGGATTGCCAGTTAAGGTTGTGGAATCAAAGAGCAAAGGCTGTTGTGAAGTGGAATATCAGGCTCAAATGGAGGTCCCTCCCGAATGAGCACTGACACCTGTGTGCCCGGACATCCACGAGGGCCCCAACACCTGTGCTCCTGACAGCTCCATGCACTAAGCAGGGCACAGTCTGGATCCAGGGGACTGACTGTCTCTGGCATTGAGCGGTTGGTAATCAATACCCCACCCTCCCTGTTCTCAGTCACTTGGGGACAAAAAAGAAAGCCTGCAGAACACGACTGCTGGCCCACCTGCCAGAGTAGCCAAGGAAACAGGATGCCCGCTAAAGCATGTTAAGGAAGGTGTGGAGCAGCTGCTGGGAACTGTCTTGATTTAAAGGAAGACATGGAGGACTGCTGTATGCTACCGTATTACACGGCCCAAAGCAGCCCCGCAATGGGCATGTTTAACACCTCCATGGGGAAGCTGCAGCGGCAACTGTACAAAGGCGAGTATACTATATTCAGGTATGCACCCATGTTTGAGAGCGACTTTATCCAGATCAGCAAAAGAGGAGAAGTGATTGACGTGCACAACCGTGCCCGAATGGTAACAATGGGCATCGTTCGCACCAGCCCCTGCCTCACACTACCTGATGTCATGCTGCTGGCCCGACCAGCTGCTGTCTGTGACAATGCCAGGTGTGGTCCTGCCACCCAGAAAAGAGAAAGTCCGCCTGCAGAGATCTTAGAACTAACCAGGCTGCTTCCCTTGATGTTTGTGAAAATAACCATCCACAACAGCGTAAAAAAACAGCTCCACCTGAAGCTTGCCACGGGCCGCTCTTTTTATCTTCAGCTGTGTCCTCCATCGGATGCAAGTGAAGACCTTTTTGTTCACTGGGAAAACCTTGTTTACATCCTGAGACCACCAGTGGAGGCTTACAGTGATACCAGGGCTATCCTAGCTGGGAACACATTGGACTCATCTGTGTTGGAGGAAGTGCAGAGGAGCCCAGTGGTGAGTCTATGCAGAGACTAGATGGGGCCTGGATGCTTTGGGGGAGAGCAGGTACAGGTCCTGTAAAGCCTTTGGTGCTGCAGCTCACCTGGGAAATGCATTGCATTTGGAAGGTCTGAAGGCCAAATGAGCTTCCATTTGGAGGCCATGGTACATTGAGGAGGTTCCTAGTGCTTCTCCAGGGTTCTCCAAGCCTGAATTTCAGAGATTTCTTAGCTGTCAGCAACTCTTCATTTTATATCCACAGCTGTTCATTTTATATCAATGTTGTAATGCTGTCCAAAGCATCCTGACCAGTCTATTCTGAAACACATACTATGACCTAGGCAGGCTGATATGTTGTAGGACGTGTCTCCCTGCAATTGCCACTTATATACATTGGTGGCAACACAACATGTTTGTGTACTTGTGCAATAATTTCTTTTTGTTGTTTACCTATAGGAAGAGAAAGGAGATCTTGCTGGTCTCACTGTCTTTGCTTATTTGTTCTCTCCCTAGGGATATGCCATGAAGTTTTGTGAAGAGAAGGAGCAATTCAGAATCAGTAGACTTCACATGAATGCTGAAATGTTTGGGTCCACCTATTGTGATTATACAATAGAGATATGAATCCAACATACCTCCCACATATACTACGTTCAAGAGTTCACACACCCCTGCAGTCATAAAACCTATAGTGCCTGATGAAGGGGCAGGGTAGCAACAGCAGTAGTGATGACAGTAAGCACCACCACAGGTACCATGGATGTGGCTGCAACCAAGTCTGCAGACTCAGGAGAGAAACACAGCACTGGCAAAAGCAGCCTTCAGAGGTCCAGGAGGAAGTATAGCCAGCATGGCTATTAGTGGGTGCTTCCATGTCTTAATCTTGTTATAGCAAGGGCTGCATGCACATTCTTGTCCTAAAAGGGTACTTCAAGCATATCAGTAAGTGCTACTGGCCTCTCCCTAGAGAGCAGTATGAATGTGGTGGCTACAGGAGCAGAGAGATACTGAGAAGGCTGTTGCATTGACAGTATCTCTCTGCTACTCAAAGGCTGACTCTCTGCTACTCAGCATTGGGAGTCAGTTATCTCAACTCTGCAGGATGAGGCCACATGCGTGAATGGGATGGAAGCCAGAGGGTCTCTACCTAGCTGGATTGACTCTGCAGTAATAACCTCAAAGCCCAGTACTACACATGGTGCAGAGGTGGACATCTCACCTAAGACTGTGGAGGGGAACAATGTGATTCACCATAATAAAATCCATCAACTCAAATTATCTGCTCTAATAACATATGCTCTATTGACAGGAAGGGTAGCAATAAAACTAATGGCAATTTATGATCAGGCTCTGAAAACTATCTTTAACTTTCCCTTAACTTTATATTTTTTAAATAAATTAATAGATGACAGAATAAAATGTTGAAGATTACTCTCAGATATGATCCTACATTAGGAGAATTATTCTAAAACTGTTTTCCAAAATATAAAATGAGAACCCAGGAATACACACACACAGACTCTCTCTCTCTCTCCTCTCTCTCTCCAGGTTTGAATCACAGCATTGCCACACATTAACTGTGAGTTTCAGTAGATTGTTTCTTTAAATGGTCACCTTGAGACCATACATGTATAATATCTGGAACATAGTAGGCACTGTGTAAATGGTAGTGTTGAGAAACAAATTCTGAGTTTAATCATACTTTCCAGAAAGGGCTTAATTTTCCCAGTCTCTTCATTCTTGATTTCCTTTCTTAAATCTTAATTAACTGCTTTGCAATTGTCCCATAAAAGCTCTATTTACAGTAAATCTTCTCAGTATCTTCCAAGAATTTTAATCCCCTGACGCTATTTAGAATTCTAAATTTTCATGAATTTGTAGAAATTTCAATCTAGTTACAATGGAAAGATAATTGCAAAGCACTCATCTTTTACCTGGTTCTCTCCAATTTTAGTATTCTTGGAGATAGAAAAATAAAATGTAATATAGGATCAATTCATAATCTGGACAAAAACTGGAAATTAGATCATTTTAGAATTGTAAGATCCACATCCATGGGATTAGCCAATATTCTAATTTTGCAAGTAAAAAGTCTGCTCGAGTCTAAAGTAATACATCACATGGTTTGAGAACCAGAATGTATAGGTAACCTGGCCCCCAATTATGTCTGTATTGTTTCCATAACACTCATGATTCTGACAAGCACTGTGCTTTGAATATAAAAGATATTTGATACATGTTTGCTGGATCCAATTAAGGGCTATAAATGTGAAATATAATTTATTCCAATCAAACAAATCTGGGGATATAAAATTTTACATAGTACTGTACTAATTGTACAGATCCCAAAGGCCCCTGTATATATTGTAAGGAAGCAGTTTACCAGTAGACCCTCACAGCGCTTACGACTTAATGATTTTTAATGGCCTCCAAAAGTGCTTCAGACCTGAAAAAAATGGTTTCAAAATATGAAAAACATTTCACAGGTTAGATGTTCTAGCTTTGCGAATTTCAAGGTTACATTACTGAGAAATCACATCTAACCATAAATCACTTTTCAGCAAATAATTTCAAATGAAAAAATTTAAAAATAAAACAATTTTTGTTTTTCATGTGGTACGTAGCCCAGTATCATATGATACTGGAGACCCCCTAAGAAGCTTTAAAATGACCATATTGCAAACTCTTAACAGAGACCAACTTTATCTTTATATTCAAGGACTGTCAGCATGCTTACCACATTGTAGTCCCTTGATAATCATAGAAGGGATCATTGTTAAAAGCACTGCACATTTTGTATTTTTTCTCTAAATCTTAATCTGACTCAATCTCTTTTTAAATTGTATATTCCTTTGGTAAATATTTCAATCTGCTTCTGATTACAAATCCTGATGCTTATTACTATCAGATCCTGTTCCTAGGTCACAGTTTTCTTAAAATTCTAAAACAATACATATCCTGTTACCTCATCTCTTGTAATCAAAGTTTAAGAGATAATTTAGATAATAGATACTGATAATAACAGAAAAAGATTTAAAAATTACCATTTGTGAATGGTTGAGAATGGTTGAATCCTAGGTAATAAACTAAAAAACCAGATGAATTAAAAAATGTTGCAAATTGTGTATGTGTGTATGTGTATATACTATATATATGTACAAATATACTATATATACACAAAAATATGCTATACATATTATATTTTTAATTGCAAAACTTCAAAAATTCTTTAATATATTTTGCAATGAAAATGTATATATATAAACATGTTATATATACATAAAACATGTTTACATGTGTATATATATATATACACACACATATACACACACAAATATAAATGCTAAAGGATAGCCCTTAAACAATAATATTCACAGACACACACACACACACATTCTTAAGAATTTATAGTGAGAGGCTGGGTGCAGTGGCTCACGCCTGTAATACCAGCACTTTGGGAAGCCGAGGCGGGCAGATCACTTGAGGCCAGGAGTTTGAGATGAGATTGGCCAATATTGTGAAATGCCGTCTCTACTAAAAACACAAAAATTAGCCAAGCATAGTGGCGCACCCCTGTAATCCCAGCTACTCAGGAAGCTGAGGCAGGAGAATCGCTTGAACCAGGGAGGCAGAGGTTGCAGTGATCCAAGATCGTACCACTGCACTCCAGCCTGGGAAACAGAGCGAGACTCCATCTGAAAAAAAAAGAAAAATTTATAGTGAGAGAAACATTAGTAAAATAGTCTTATTGCTGGTTTGTTAGATTAAATTCAGTTAAAAAAAAACACCCAAAACCTGTATCTCAAGTACATTTATAGATTTAATGCAGTAAAAATTAAAATCCCAATAGAGATACTTTTTAAACTCAACATAGTACTTACAAAATACAGATTTTATAAAGCAAGCAATCAAGTCAGCTGCTAGTTTTAATTTAATAATGGATAATACCAACACTGAGTCATGTGGTTTAAAAAATAGGAAGGCAGAAATAAACAAGCCTTCAGAAGTAAAACCAAAACAAAAGGATAAAAACGAGAGGAATATGAGTTATTGTTCAATGGAAAGTCATAGGAAAACTAGATATCAACAAGCAAAAAATAATATAGAGCCATAATTGAAATTTATGTTAAAAGGAGTTCTAAATAAGATGAATTAAATGAAAAATAGGATTGAGAAGCTTAATCAACTGGATAGTTTTTTTAAATTACATGATGCACTTGTACACATACAAATTAAGACAAAAAGAAAAGCTGCAGACTGGGAAAGATTTTGTGGTAAATGTAACTAGAACATCTGAGGAATTAATAAACTTATTGAACAATACCAGTCTTCACCAAGGAAATGGCCAAAGGTAAAGCAAACCTAATATTAAAAATTGTAGACCAAAAGCAAGGTACTACCAAGCCTAAAAAATAATAAAATCAAATTTAGAAAAAAGCAAATGTTAGTAAGGTGGTAGAAAATCAGATACAATCATATTACTGACAGCTTTTTGATTTGCAGTCATCTGGCTAATATAGTAAATACCCTGATTATTTTATTTCAGTAATTATTTTTAAGATATAAGGCAAAGTAATGATTAGGAAATGTATTTTTACAAATGCAGTTTTATGAGGGGAAAATAGGTTAAAACATTTAATTATTGATAAACTGCTAAGCAGTTAAGGGTAAGCTAATAAAATACAACTTATGCTTGTTAATTTTCTTTCCCTTTACCCATGTAGATATGAGGTAAAAAACTATATGTAAAAACTTTAAGTGAAGACATGACACCCTAGAATATACACATTTGTTCACTGAGATTCATTCAACTATTACTTCATTCCAATTATTTTTTTTTGTTTTACATCCATCAGATTTTGCTTGATAAAGAAGACATTTTTTTCTCTTCCTTTCTTTCTTTCTTTTTTTTTTTTTTTTTTTGAGACAGAGTCTCACTCTATCATAACCCAGGCTGGAATGCAGTGGTATGATCACAGCTCAATGCAGCCTCAACCTCCCATCTCAGCCTCCTGAGTAGCTAGGGCTATGGGTGTGTACTACCACACCTGGCTTATTTTTGTATTTTTTGTAGAGACAAGGTCTCACTATGTTGCCCAGGCTGGTCTTGAACTTCTGGGCTCAAGCAATCCACCCTCCTCGGCCTCCCACAGTGCTGAGATTACAGGTGTGAGATACCACATCGAACCCATTCTTCTGATTTGCCAGGAACTACGCGTTAGACTGCAGATGCTGAGCATCAAAAGGTTGAATCTCTACCTTTATGGAGCTCACAGTTTAGTATGTATTTACAACAATTCTGTAAAGGTTACAGTAAACTGTCTTAAAGTCCTATGAAGAGATTTTTTAAGTACTATATACTGATTTGAATATCCTACTTAGCTTTCTACAACAAATTAATATTGAAATTTGAGGGGCTATGATCAAATTATGATACAGACATGTGGAAGACGTGATGGTTTCTTAGACATAATTGTTTCGTATTTGTCGTGACAGAAGGGAAAATATCTTTGAGATGTAACACTTTTCTGGATAAGTACTGTGATTTATCTTCTGTCCTGGACTGCTTTTTCCACCCACGTTCTATGTAATTAACCTCTTAACATTATACCCTTTCATATTAAGTTCTTTGCTTATTGTGCAGAGATATTTTCACCATGGCTTCAAATTTCCTATCTCTGGAATATTTTAGTCATTTCTGAAACTCCTCTAAGAGTGTATGGTTCACAACCCACAACAGGAACCTGAAGGTGATACTACAGATTTAAAGTAGTCTTAATGATAGTGAAATGACTTGAAACTAATAGTCAATATTTTAGTGTTCTGGTTTCATTTTTGGATTTTATTCCAAAACCTCCAGAAGTACACATTCCCATTATTCTACAATGCTCCATTGTGATGTGAAAAATATAATCACTGGCTATGCTTTTAAACAGCCATAATATGTTTCCTTATATCTGTAGACAACTTTTACTTTTTAAAAATAGCATTCTTTAAACTGATATATTTCTGGATTCAAAATATTAAAACCTCATAAACAAGATAACTTTTCTGCATTATAACCAAACTAAATAATACTAATTTTTTACATAAATTATGTCTTCGCATATGTACACATATGCACACCAAGTTATATGCACATTTTACTTGACACTTTGAGAAAAACCACAAGATCCAAAATCACAAAGTGAACAAGATCCTAATTTGATTTTCGAAGGGGAGGGAGATTTTATCTTAAAAACATAGGCAACCATTTTTGTTTTATTGTACCTTAATAAAAGCAAACTTTTACCTGGGCAAGCATGGGGAAGCCAAGGTTCCTACATCCATTACACGGAGTTAATGCTTCCCAAAGTCCTGATGGCCCACACGTATTTTCATCATCATCCTCTTCTTCCACTTCTCCTGGTGACAAATTGATTGTAGATGAGGTTCTCTGAAATTAAATTTATATCATACCAATATATTATATCAATGATATTTAGATATCTTAACATCAATTAAATTCTATAAATGACAGTGGTATATCTCGGCAAACAAGTCAGCTCACTTTTAGCCACAGTTACATGGCTGTGCCCTGTGCCTGAGATAAAAATATGTATAGTCCAACTTAAGTTAAAAGTGAAAAAAACTAGGTGTGAAAGACTTATAAAATAATATATGAAGTTCATAATGAAGAATAGAACATGATAATGGCCTAATAAAATATTTGAATAGCAACAAATGAGAAAAATCTTATGGTTTATCAAGAATTTAGGTTTAGGCATAAAATTAAGGAAAAATGCAGTTAGGGCACTAACAGGAAAATATTTTATTGAAATGGGAACTCCTGATAAACCAGTTTGTTCAGAATGCCACTGAAATAAAACTTTATAAACTTTCATATCATACATATAACAGGAGTAACAGTTTTAAAATTCATAATGAGACTTCCATATTTAGCACATATATTTTCCTTCGTTATCTCCCAAATCTCACTAAAATGATGGTAGAACATTTATAAAAATGTTTACACCATAAAAATAAGGATGACAGGAGAGATGAACAGACAATATTAAGAAAACTTCTGGATAATGTTGAGTAACTTTTGGATAACAGATGGGTATTACCTGACTTAGCAAACATGAGAACACTGAAAGCAAAGAACCTTCATGTGGAAAGAATTGGAGGGACTGGCTACCTGTGAAGGTGTAAGTGTAGGTGGGGCAGAAACAGACTGAAACTCAGTATCAGAAAGAATTATACCCCTAGACCCATCTCCTTTTCACCCAGCCAGGAAACTAAATCTTTACCACTGGCAAGAAATTAGAGGTTTAATTTTTGAAGAAGTTGAAGCAAAAGGATTATGAATTCTAAGACTACAGATATACTGAGTCTCCAAAAACAAGAGAATTAATATCTATATAGTAATGAAGATTCATAACCTACCCCGTGCCTTACCATATTTGCATTAGACAACATGGCAGCACGGTTTATATTCCCAGATAAACAACTAGAATACTCCTCCCTGTAGAAACAGACCTCCTAAGAAAAAAGGTCTATAAATAAGCAGGAAAATGGTGGGATCTATGTATCAATCTCTACTGTGAAGCCAACCTCTCAACAAGTTCCACTCACAAGAATCATATATTTGAGAAAAACCTCTTAACAGACACCAAAATAAATATAGAGAAAAAAGTTATAAATAGTATCCTCAGAGAGAAGATATTTATAGCCATGAAACAAGAACAGAAAGTTACAAAATACATAAAATCCAATACAAGAGTAAGAAAAATCTGAGAAAATTTCCCAAAAGATGAACAGAATTTAAAAGTGGAGAAAACTAGGGGTCAAACCAAGACCTCTAACATCTGAACAAAAGGAGCTCCAAAAATTAAGAGTAGAGATGGGAGGGTCAAAGAAATAAAGCATGAAAATTTGCAGAAACTGAGGAAAAACTTCACTCTAAGAGCCTGCTGAATACTTAGCAGACTCAATTTAAAAAAAAAGATGTATATGCATAAATAAAAAGAAATACACTAAATTGTCTAAAGGTCCTCTGAATGTAGCGTTCAGCACAACATTGATAGATCATGATTACTAAAGCAAGTAAATATATTCTACATATTGGATTGTAAATAGCATCCTCCCCCCAAAATTGTTCCTTTTAAAAATAGAATATAAGATTTTATTTTTCCTCCTATTTAAAAGAATTTGTTTTCTGCATTCACATTTTAACTTCCCCTTGATCACTTGTCAGTAACTAAGAAGCAATGAAATTAAGTTGTCCCCCAATCAGTTGCTGTCTATAAAATACAATAATAATAACAACTGTTAGACTGAGAACTTACTATGTGACTTGGAGTATCACTGGCCTATTGTCTGTTAACTATTTTAATTCACACAACAGCCATTTGAGGCAAATATTTTTCCTCTCACTTTATAAATGAGGAAACTAAGGGACAGAGAGGCCAAGTAAAACCCAAGGTCACGAAGCTGGCAAGTGGCAGAAAAAGGATTCTAACCCAGACTAGGGGGCTGCAAAACCTACTCTCCCCTCACCACTACATTCTGTGACCACTCCTTTGGTACAATAACCTGTGGAAGACAATATACTGAAAAACCACACTGATGTAAATAATTGCAGTTTAAATAAAAGAGGTATATTTGGTGAATACGTTTCTGTTACACGAGTAAAGTCCTGAGAGCATTTTGCCTTCTGTGACAGGGAGTGAAAATTTCTGCAATTTGATACATAGCAGCCCATGCTTTCATAAATACACACTTCTCAAATCAATAATAGAAGGTGATTATCACAGGGATTTTTGACCCTACAGATCCTTTGAGTAAAATAAAAAATCTTGGGAAATTTAAAATCTTAATCTGAAAGAGTATATATATATATATGATAAAGTTGTTCACAGGAATAAATAAAATGATCAAAAAGGTATCTCCTTTACCAGCTCATGATCAGCTAACAGTTTGACCATCAACATTGATGCGGCACATACTATAAACCACCTCATAGTTGGCCAAGAATTATCAACATTTTAGATTAATCCATTCTTTTCTATTTTGTTAATGGTGCTACAATGATTTAATCCAATCACACAGGGAACTTCCTCTATCTCTTTCTCCTCCCTCAAAAAAAAAAAAAAAAAAAAAAAAAGCTTATCTCTCTTCCCTGCTCATAAAGCTCCAATTACTTCCCATTTCACAGCAAATGATATCCAAATTCCTTAATCTGGCTTCAGAGTTCTATAGTCAAATGATTTTTTAGCCCTTTTACTTTTTCACTATACTCACCTCAGATTATAACCAGGTGGAATTGTTTACCCTTGCCTAATCATGCTCTATGCTTTTATTCTTTCTTTCACCTTACTTGTCTGCACAGCGTATTGTAGTGGTTAAGGGCTTGGGCTCTAAAATTAGACAGTCCTGAATTCAAGTTCCAAATACCCGCCTCACTAGCCGTATGATTTTCAGCAGATAAGACCATTGTCAGCCTCTCTTGCCTTATCTATGCAATGGAAAACAATACAGTGGAACCTCTCTCAGGGCTTTTTCCTGATGACTAAATGAGGTAATAAATATAAAGTGCCTGACACATACAGCTTCAATAAGTATTAACTATCATGTTTATTATTTTCTTATAATCCCACTGATTCAAAATAGAGTTCAGATTTCATCCCTTACCTAAAATTTTCCAGATTTCCCACAAGCATGCATGATATCATGTTCTTCTGCTTGTCTCTCTTTGTGCAAATGTTTGCATTTGGTATTTCACATTCACCTTGAGTTGATAGATGCTATAGTGGCAAAGAGCATTGGCTTTTAACTCAAACAGATATATGTTTAAATCCTAGCTCTACCACTTCCAAGCTTTGTGATTTTGAGCAAATCACATAATCTTATTAATCCTTAGTTTCCCTATCTGAAAAAATAGTGTAATCATTTCCACTTGCAGGGCTGTATGAAGATCAAATTAATTGCTTGACAGAGACTGGCACATAAAAAATCAATAAGTACTGCTATTTTATTTTTTACCATAAAAGAGTTGTGTACACACACACAGTGTGCTTGTGCAAATATACTACACAGACACAAGTGTGGCTTATTTACCCTTGTGAAGTAAGTTATTTGAAAGAAAACATTGCCTTATTCACATTGTATCTCCTACAATGTGTTGTGCATAATGAAACAATAAATATTTATTGAATGAATCACTGAATAAATGAGCTTCAAATTATTATTTTCATTTGACTACCTAGAAAATTTTACTAATATTAAGGGGTGTGTATAATTGTATCACAAATATCAAGATTGCCATTTTAGCTTTATTTTATATTAACTATTACAAGTAGCTTTGCAGAAATGAAGAAACTTATCAGTGGTTTAGCACTGCCCCCTAAAGACAGCATATAAATTGGCTGTGTAAAACCATAATTTTTAACTTCATTTCTTTACAGTTAAAGATTTGAAGGAAAATATTTTATCAAGCTACATATAATCTTCAATTATATATGGGAAGAAGCCAGCGGAACACACTTAACCTCAGATGGTTTCATTTATTCCAAATGCTGTTCAAACTTTTTACTGGAGAACAAACTCTGTTCCTGAAGTTCCAGAAAGATGTGAAAATTCTACTATAAAAAAAAATAGACCTAAATCTATACAGTTTGAACCCATTAGCTTTCTTGGTTATTACACGGTAATAAAGAAAGACTGGACCAATTCTATGTTGTTGCAAATTGAAAAACAGTCACAATAATATACTGTAGGGAGACAAACTTGAGCTCAATCAAAGAAAAACACTTTTGAGAATAATTATATTAGTCTAACATTGAAGAAATGGGATTTCCCTGTGAGGCAGTGTGTGTTCGTGTGTGTTTGTGTGTCTGTGTGTGTGCATGTGTGTATGTGTAAATTATATGACAACTATATATAACGGTGCTTCATAATTTATAAAATGCTTTCAGATAGAGAATAGCCCAATAAAATAGAGTAAGAATTATCCCTATTTTACAAGTGAAAAAAACTGATGCTCAAAATGTTACTCGATTTGCAAGATCATACTACAAATCAGTCCAGATTATAATCCAAGCCCTCTAAATCTAGGTCCTATTGTCTTTCTACCACACCATGGAAGCCACCTCCTTAATTACTAGAACTCTTCAAGGGGACAACAAATGTTCAAGATTGTCAATGCAAAGGGACCAGGCCAAAAGGCAGAATCCAGGAAAGAGGCAATATCAGAGATGGCAATCAAAGCAAAAGGCAACAATCTGGAATGAGTTAGCAATCTAGACTACTTTATAGCATTGCCACACGCCTTTTTGCCTTTGTTTAGTTCTAAAGTAAAATTGCTTTATAGATTTTTCAATGAAATTTAAAGTAATACATGCTTATTGTAAAACAAATCATTCATAATGAAAAATTATACATGAAAGAGTGAAGCTTTCCTAGCCTCGGTCCCACATTCAGTGGGTGTACTTCCAGACTTTGTAATACTTACTCTACTTGCCTGATGACTTTCTCACGATAAATTCATAAATGAGAAATTGTATACACCAAAGAGTATGCCTACCTTTATCTTTCTTTTTCTTTTTCTTTTTTTTTTTTTTTTTTGAGGTGGAGTCTCACTCTGTTGTCCAGGCTGCAGTGCAGTGGCACAATCTCTGCTCACTGCAGCCTCCACCTCCCAGGTTCAAGTGATTCTCCTGCCTCAGCCTCCCAAGTAGCTGGGATTAGAGGTGCCCACCATCACACCTAATTTTTTGTATTTTTTTAGTAGAGATGGGGTTTCACCATGTTGGCCAAGCTGGTCTTGAACTCCTGACTTCAGGTGATCCACCTGCCTTGGCCTCCCAATGTGCTGAGATTACAAGCATGGGCCACCGTGCCTGGCCTAAACTTTCTAAGTATTGCCAATGTTGTCTTTAACCTGTTCACAGTGATCAGAGAAATGTTTTTTCATATGAGAATGTGATCATGTTTTCCTCTTCCTTAAAACCTTCAATAGCTTTTCATGTTCTTCTGATAAAGTTCAAAATTCTTAATATGATCCAAAAGGCTATGCATGATCTGCCCCTACCTCCCTCTGTATCCCACCACTAATCTGGCAGGCCAGGTCTCACTAACAGCTGAACAGGAAGGCCTCCATGACAACTGTTTCAGCACTGACTGAGTGGTTAAATTAAATATTTAAAGCTGATAGAGCCAGTGCCCTTATACGAAGGCTGGAATGTAACGAAAGCCCACCAAGAGTTTTGCCTAGGCCTTTCCAGGGCCTTGAAGCATGATGAAATAACAAAGGAATTCTTAACAGAACCCGTTTAGTATTAAACAGGTTTTACTGGGGGTCTGAAGGAACTCCCCAGACCTCCACAAACAAGTTTTATTGAGGTCTAAAGGAACTCCCAAATCTTCATGATTTAGCAGGAGACAAGATAAGCGTAATCACCCCTGGCACCTGGATCCATCTAGATTGAGTAAATTTACTGAAGCTCCAGAGGAAGGTCTTCAGGACTCAGACCTTAGGTATAGATGAGAAGAAGTTAATCACTTATGTCTTTAGATGAATGCACACTTACATGTAGACATACAGCTTAGAAGGTATATAAGCTCTGGAAAACTTTGTAATTTTGAGTTGGTCTGGCAATATTTTCCCTGGCCTTCTCCCTGTACCCGTTTACAGAAGTAAATTCTCTTCTTTCCCAGTTGGTCTGCATCTTGTTATTGGACCATGAGAATAAGCAACCCGACCCTTGGTTTGGTCCAGGAACACTAACACTATTCCTCTCCTTTGCCCATAATGTTTAAACACACTGAGCTTCCCTCTTTCCCTCAAGTATACCAAACTTCCTCTTGCCTCGTACCTTACCTTAGCACATGTGGTTTTCTCTGGCAAAGACTATTAGTCATCTCCCAATATACAGTCCCCCCTCCTCCTTTTGTCTTTAGTAACACCTTCTTTTATTCTTGTATGGTACTAATACTCCAACTTTTAGCTGGGCACATGTATTCTTTGAATAAATACCACATTGTCCAGTGTCTGTTGCAGCTAGGTGTGACCACATGGCTAAGTCATAACCATGGGATATAAGAAGTGCTCTTGAAGTGAATAGGTGTGCCCTTCTTCCTCCCCTTCCTCTTCCTGCTGATTGAATGCTAATGAAATAGCTGGAGCTGGAGCATTTGTCCTGGGCCATGAAGTATCCTTGGAACTAGAGGACCTGCACAATGGAACAACAAAATAGAAGAATCCTGGGTTCCTCATAGAGGTGATCCCTACCAGCCTTGGACTGCCTAGCTCTAAGCTTTAGAAGTGGGAGTAAAACAAACTCTTTCTCTTTAAGCCATTATTATTATTTTAGATGTTTTTGTTATTTGCTATTGTGTCAAACCCTAACAAATAAATTCCTTTGCTTGTCTTCATCAGGATTAATCTTATTGGTGCTTTAGGTATAAATATAATTCACTTCCTTTGGAAGGCCTTCTTGATGCTCTCATCAAGATTAATTTCCTTTCTTATATGCCTTCACAGTATCCTGCTTTTCTAATAGCAATTATCACAATGATAATTTTATAGTTACTGTGTGACTTTGGTTCAGTATCTCCTATCCTTAGTCCATAAAAGCTGCATGATTGCAGAGATGCCTGTTGGGTTAGCTACCAAAGCCTGATACTTGGCTAGTACATTGAATAACAGTTTATCACATATGTGTTGAAAATGAATGAAGAGTAAATGAATGAATGAATGCCAGCTTGCCCTCATAGATGTTTTATTAGTGTGAACATTTTCACTAGTTCTAAGAGGAACCAATGTAACTATAACCCAGATTTTAATGTCCTTTGTTCTCTAACTCCATTTGCTCCCACTGTCTTCCTTCCATATTCAAAATAATGTAGAAAACAGCATCTATTTGATTTCATGAAAGAATACATTTATGACAACCATTGGTGCACAATTTACATTTTACCACAAACTCTATAGCGGAGGTGAATGGGCTTTAAATTGCACAGCTTAACTCCTCCCCCTCCCCTATCAATATTTTTCTCCTTATAGTAATAATTGGGTAGAAGGGTGCTTTTCATCTCCCCTTCCACCAAGAAGAATAGAATTCTTGGTGTCTATTTTTGCCTGCAGACTGTTTTCATTAGCTCTTTAAATTCTTCTCCTCTTTATTATGCAAGCAATTTCACACTAGGATACATCTTATCTGCAAATTTGCATAGCCAATCTCATTACACAAGAGATCTTACATGAGAACTATTATTTTGTCAATTTAAAAGGCAACAACTATGTAATAGCATGATATATCATATTTTCCTTTTTACAATCTTTTAAAACCGGGGATCTAAGGGCTTAATGGGGCACTAAGAAGAAAACGTGAGGTGTTAAGCTGGTTTACTTATTCCAAAGCTATGATAGTATTAATGATCAGATAGATGATAGGTCAGTGATCATATTACTCACAAAGGAACAGACTCAACCATCTTAAATTTAGTCCTGGGAGAGATATCACATGCCACAGTTGAATATATTAGCAATGATCAGAAAACCTACTGTTAAAGCCACAGTTGAACATATTAGCTATGATCAGAAACCCTACTGTTAAATACGTTTCTATAAGCTTAGTAACACTAAACATCTGTTCAAAATTTTCTGAAAATTACCTTGCAAGGCTACCCTACACTACCTTTCACCACAACCATTTGTTCCATGTTAGTAAAATTCACAAAAGCTGCAACATTTAAGTCTGCTGAAAAATAAAATTTCTCTAAGATTAATTTGGAGTTAGCTGTGAATCCTGTACTGCATTTATATCTGCAAGGAAAAGAAAGGAAGAAGAAAAACAAGTCTTGATGCCAATGAGTACACTGAGTACATCTCCTAGTATCTGCACTCTGAAATGACGTTACTATGTATGGTGATATTTTAAACTTGAGGATTTGCCAGTGCCAAATGTATTTCACATTTATTGAAGGACAGAATTGCTATTAAAGCAATTGTTTTAGTTGCAAGAAATATTGAACAAGAAAGTAAGGATAGTCTTTCTCTTTTTAATAGTACATGAGACATTACAATTCCTCTGAAACGCTTAGTTCCAACACATTATGTTCCTGCCTGCTGTTTACATATTTGACATCCTTTGCATAACATCAGGAAACTTCAAAGAACATATTTTGTTTGCTATTCTACTTATATACAATCAATTTGAACGTTTTTATTATCTCTCAAAACTTTTGTTCATTTATCTGACCCTTACCTAGTAATTAATACTGTTTATTATTTCAATATTAGAAAGAGCTAAGTCTAAACTGATGCCAATTTTATGCACAATACGCAGAAGCTAATTTCAAAAAAAAATGTTAAAGTCACCTTAGAAAGTTTAAACTTTTTTTTTTTCAACAAGACAGTACAGAAGGCAAAATGTATAACTTTGGGAAAACTAAATTATCCTCCATGACAGATCATTTTATATGAACAAATAACATTTTTCTAAAAGTTTACTTCTTTGTTTTAAAATAAAATTCATTAAAGTCTTATTTATATACCTAACATGAACCCATTTTATATATTTATTTTTTGTATTGGTACAAATCTTTAATAGAATTTTTATTTAAATAGGGGATTCTTATGTTACTTTAATGCAAAATAGAAAGAAAACAAATGAAATTTTATATAAAAATTAAAAACCTAAGAGTAAAAAGGTAGATGTATGTAGAATCCTCCACAGTCAGCGTACAGTATGGCATTTTCAAAAAGCTGAGGGAAAAGGAGCAAGAAACTGAGAAGGAAGCAAAGGAGAAGAAAGGGGAGAGTAAAGAAAGAAAGAAAAGATGACATGCACCCATTTTAAATGTACATACCTGTGCATTCACCACCACAATCAAGATACAGAACATTTCCATCACCGCAAAAGGTTACCTTGAATCCCTTTCCTATCAATATTTCCCTACTGGTAGCCCCAGAAATCTTTTTTCTGCCACAATATAGTAGCATATACACTTTATGTTTGGCATAAGTTTTCTGTAAAGCTTATTAACACTAAACATCTGTTTAAAATTTTCTGAAAATTACCTTGCAAGGCTACCCTGCACTATCTTTTCACCACAACCATTTGTTCCACGTTAGTAAAATTCACTCAGCCTAATGTTTTTGAGATTCATTCCTACTTTTGCATATCAGTAGTTTATTCCTTTTTAATCCAAAGTAATATTCCATTGTATGGCTATACCAAAGTTTTGTTTATACATTCATCTATTTATGGGCATTTGGTTGTTTTCAGCTTGCGGCCATTACGAATAAAGTCGCCATTAACATTCACATTAAAATCTGTGAGTGCCCATAAGTTTTTGTTTCTCTTGGGTAAATATCGAAAATGCTAGGTCACACGGTAAATGCATCAAACTTTTTAAGAAACTGCTAAAGTGTTTTCCAAAGTGTTTGTACCATTTTACATTCCCATTCATTGTGTCGGAGAGTTTCGGTAGCTCCACATTCTTGGCAACACTTAATTTTAGTTATTCTAATGGGTATGCATGTAGAGTTATCGCAATAGTATGTAGTTATCAAATGGTATGTAGAATTATCACAATAATAGTACTTTTAATATACATTTCTGCCAGTGCTACTAATGTGCTAAATATCTTCTCCTGTGCTTAGAGGCCATTTACCTTCTTCTTTGGTGAAGTACCTTTACACATTTTTATTAGGTTGTTCGACTTCTTTTTTTTTTTTTAGACGGAGTATCACTCTGTTGCCCAGGCTGGATGGAGTGCAGTGGCACCATCTCGGCTCACTGCAAGCTCTGCCTCCCAGGCTCACGCCATTCTCCTGCCTCAGCCTCCCAAGTAGCTGGGACTACAGGCGCCCACCACCACGCCCGGCTAATTTTTTGTATTTTTAGTAGAGACGGGGTTTCACCGTGTTAACCAGGATGGTCTCGATCTCCTGACCTTGTGATCCGCCCGCCTCAGCCTCCCAAAGTGCTGCGATTACAACCTTAGCGTGAGCCAAGTTTCTTTGACTTCTTATTGCTGTGTTGTAAGAGTATTCTTTTTAAATATTCTATATTCTAGACATACCTCCTTTGTACTGTTGGTGAATATATAAGAAATCTTTGCCTAACACAAAGTTAAGATATTTTCCTATATTTTCTTCCATAAGTTTAAGATTTTTGCTTTTACATTTTGATCTTTGTTCTATATTGAGTTAATTTTCATGTACAGCATGAGGTAAAGGTTGAGATTTAAGAAACCTATTTTTTTAATATATAAGTAGAAGTAGTCAGCCCCATTACTTGAAAAGATTATCCTTTCCCCATTGAAGTGCCCTGCAGTTTTTTTGAAAATCAATTGACCATACGTGTATGGGTTTATTTCTGAATTCTACTTTGTTCTATTGACCTGTAAATCTCTTCTTATGTGAATACCACATTGATAGACGTTTATAAGCCTGGAATCAGAGAAACCTCCAAATTTGTTCTTCTTTGAAATTATTTTGGCTATTCTATGTTCTCTGCCTTTGCATATAAATTTTAGAGTAAGCTGTCAATAGCTGAAAAATTAGCCTGCTTGGATTCTGCTTGGGATTGTAGTCCATAGTACAATTTGGGGAGAACAAATATCTAAACCACATTGTCCTTCATTTCATGAACATGATGGTATATCCCCGTAGGTATTAGGTTTTCTTTAATTTCCATCAACAATATTTTTATAGTCTTCAGTGTACAGGTCTTGCCCATATCCTGTTAAATTTGTAGGGGTAAATTTGTAGGGGTGGTATATCTTTGCACGTATTAGGTTTTCTTTAATTTCCATCAACAATATTTTTATAGTCTTCAGTGTACAGGTCTTGCACATATCTTGTTAAATATGAAGGGGTAAACACACGTTTCGTGTTTCTGGAAAATCTTTCAAATGGTATTATTAGGTTAATTTAATTTTCTTTTCCCTCTAGCACTATTGGGGCATAATTGACAAACAAAACTGTACATATTTAAGGTGTATGGCATATTATTTTGCTATATGTATAATTGTGAATTACCACAATCAAGCCAATTAACATCTCCATCACGTCATATAGTTACTATGGGGTGTGTGTGTGTGTGTGTGTGTGTGTGTGTGTGTGTGTGGTGAGGACACTTAGAATCAACTCTCTTAGCAAATTTCAAGTATACAATGTGATGTTATTAACTATAGTTACCATGCTATGCATTTGATCTCCAGAATTTATTCATCTTATAACTGAAAATTTGTAACCAAACTTCAAATTTGTACCAAATTTTAAAATTGAATTTTCAGCTGAGTGCAGTGGTTCATGCCTAGAATCCCAGCACTTTGGGAGGTCAAGGCAGATGGATCACTTGAGGTAAGGAGTTCGAGACAAGCCTGGCCAACATGATGAAACTCTGTCTCTACTAAAAATACAAAAAAGTTTAGCCAGGTGTGGTGGCACGCACCTGTAGTTCCAGCTACTCGGGAGGCTGAGGCAGGAGAATCACTTGAGCCCGGGAGGCGGAGGTTGCAGTGAGCCGAGATCATGCCACCACACTCCAGTCTGGGTGACAGAGCGAGACTCTGTCTCAAAAAAAAAGAAAAGAAAAGAAAAGAAAAGAAAACCCTGAATTTTCAGTTACTGATAGTTCCTCATGTAAAAAAAAAATTTGATTTTTATGTTTATTTACTTTGCATCTTGCACACATTTTAGGTCTAGTTGCTTTCCTATAGATATTTTAGGATTTTCTATGTAAATGATCATATCACCTGTGAATAAAGAGTTTTACTTTTCTCTTTAAAATCTTTATGCCTTTATTTTCTAGCCCTTGTCTTACTGCACTGGCCAGAATTGCCAGTACAATGTTGAATACAAATCTTAAGTGAAAAGCATTCAGCCTTTCAACATTATGAAGTATAATGTTAGTTAGCTGTGGCATTTTTGTAAAGGCTTTTTATTATAAGGTTGAGCAAATTATTCCTATTCTCAGTTTACTAAAAGTTTGTATCATGAATAGATGCTTTTCTACAATGACTGATATGATCATAAGGTTTTCTTCCTTTATTCTGTTAATGTGGTAAAATATATTAATTGATTTTATCTGTTAAAATAACCTTGCCTTTCTGGCATATATCCCACTTGGTTGTAATGCAAAATTTTTAAGTGTATGCCGGACTTGATTTGTTACTATTTTATTGAGGATTTTGTTACTGTGTTTATGAGTGATATTGATCTATAGTTTTCCATTTGTGAAATGTCTTTGTTATCACAGTAATGCTGACTTCATATAATAAATTGGGAACAACCCTTATCTTTTATTTTCTAAAAGGATTTCACCAGTAAACCACCTCTATGTAAAGTTTCCTTGTGGGGAAGAATTTCATTATGATTTAAGCTTCCTTAACATAGGATTATTTAGATTTTATATTTCTTCTTGAGTTACTTTTCCTAATTTAGGTCTTTCAAATAATTCTTCCATTTCATCTAGGTTGTCAGTTATTGCTACAAAGTTATTCATATTGTTCCTTTATTATTCTATTCATTCTCCTGGATCTTTATTCATATCCCCTCCCTTTTATTTCTATTGGCTGTTTATATTCTATTTTACTGATATTGATTTTAATCATTCTCACTTTGGGTTTAATTTCCTCTTTTATCTCATTTTTTTTAAATGTGGAAGCTTAGGTCTTTCATTTAAGACCTTTCTCCTTTTCCTATATAAGAACTGAATTCTATGAGACTCCTAAGCACTGCACTAGCTTTACCTACAAAGTTTAATATTCTTGGTTCTTATTTGCATTTAGTTAAAAATATTTTCTAAGTTTCTTTGTGACTTTAGCAACTAGATTATGATGTATCTTTGTCTAGTTTTCTTTGTTTTTGTCATGCTTTGCATTTGTTGAGCTTCTTGGGTTGGTGTTTTCATTCAAGTTAGAAATTTTTCAGCCATTGTTTTTGTTATTTTTTTTTGTTATTCTTTCATTCCTAACCCCTCCTCTCCTTCTGAATCTCCAATTACACATATGTTTCATTGCATGATATTTTTTCACAGGCTCTGTTATTTATTTTAGTCATTTTTTTCTCTGTATTTTATTTTGGCTACTTTCATTTGCAATATTTTCCATTTCACCAATCGTTCCTTCTGCAATGACAGTCTGCTGTTTATTGCATCTACTTTATTTTTCATTTCAGATACTGTCTTTTTCATCTCTAGATGTTTCCTTTGAACTCTTTTATATCTACATTTCTCTATTCATGTCACCTCTTCCTTTAAACCTTTGAGTATATCAAGCATATTTATAGCAAATATTTTATTCTCTCATATACAAATTCTATCAAATCTGTAATTCCAGGCCTATTTTTATTGACTAATTTTTTGCATGTTCATGACTTTCATTTTCCTTATTTTCATGTGTAGTAATTTTTTTAAGAGAAGGCTTCTCACTCTGTCACCTAGGCTGGAGTGCAGTCATACAATCATAGCTCACTGCAGCCTTGACTTCTTGCACTCAAATGATCTTCTTGCCTCAGCCTCCTGAGTAGCTGGGACTACAGGAATGTCCCACCACACTTGGCTCTGAGTGTAGTTGTATTTCTTTAAAAATTACTGGACATCGTTGTGGCATAGAGTAAAGTTATCTGGAGATCAGTTTAATTCATTCAAGGCTTGCTTTTACTTTTTTTTTTTAGGTGGGTCTACAGTAACCTTTACTCTGGAGCTAACTTAACCCCACTGTTAAGACTTACGTTCCCTCTGGAATGTCTAGTGAATGTGCCATGTATTAAGCATGATCCCTCTACTTGGGCTGGTAGTTACTTGAATGATTGTTGGCCTTGTGTGAGCTCCAGGGATTTTTCTGTTTATGTATCTCCAGTATTGTTCTTTCTTTGGAGGTTTTTCTTTTTCTGTCTTCATGAAGTTTCACTCTTGTGCAGATTGATATTCAACTGAAGATACAAAGATAACTTTAGGTTGTTTTCTGGACCTCTTTTTTGGTATAGTACCCTCTTTTCTGTTCCTCTGCCTGAAAATTCTAGCTGACTCAGCCTTCCCCAACTCTAGTTTCTGTACTTTCAACTCAGAGGATTACTTGACCCTGTTTCTGTTTTTCTACCTGGCACCATATTTAGGAATTGGATTCAGGCAAAAAGCTGGGTGATGGTAGGGTTTGCCTCCTTTGTATCTTTTCTATTAGGGATCACAGTCCTGTCTTTTATCCAGGTCTGATCATGAATGTTTGACATATTTTTGTCCAGTATTCAGCAGTTTTCAGAAGGAGCCACTCCATACCCTATTACCTCATGGAAGTTTGACAAAACCTTTAAAGGTTTGACAAAAACACTTTTTAAAAGAAGACGTGTATTATTCATATCTGTTTCTCCATTTTAGACCTTTCTTCACTTCTTACCGGCTAAATAATCCCATTTCCTCTATTTTGTACAAATCCCTCAAACATATTAATATTCTCTTCCTCCACACTGTTAACTGCACATTTATCACATAAAGTTAGTCTTTTCTTTCCATCATCATGCTTGTCTTGCCAATTTCCTAATTCATAATAAATAGATGGTCCTAGGAAAACAATCTCACCTGTAATATGAGAGTTATTCAATTAATTTTTTGCATCAGTGAATACACATACCTTTTACAACCAACCTGAACTTCCTGTGTGCATAATTTCATTGCTACTTAACTTAATTAAAAAATTATTGTTTATGCCCAATATTTCAAATAAATTTATTTAAATTTATTAAATATTTATTGATTAAAAACTACTGTCTACAAGGCTGAACTCTAGGATGAGGGAAGAAAAATATAAGTATGTCATAAACTCTGAACTCAAGGTGTAAAGACACATATCTATACATAACTAGACAGTAAAACTAGACCAAAATTATAAGCATTACAGAGATACTAAAACAAGGTATTAGAAAACATAAAGAGGAAGCAACCAGGGCAAGTAGAGGAGAGAATTCACAGAGTGTTTGCATTTGAGCAAAAGCACCTCATGAGATAAGAATTCTGACAGAGAAAAGGGGAGATGGGAATGAGGCACAGAGTTTGCATGATTAAGGCAGTATGAATGTGCTTGCTGTGTCTGGCAAATGAGCTATTAGGAAAGGCATGGTGGGGAGATGGTACATGAAAAATAAATCAGGGCTCTATTATGTAAAACTGATAGTTTAAAACAAGTTCAACATTAGTCAAGGCACAATTTTCTACTTCTTATTCTACTGAGATCAAAAAATAGAAAGCTTCTACGTATTAGATACAAAAGGATTCAGAGACTGTTTCTCTTCTCTAAATTCCCATAATTCAGATGTTTGGACAACTCAATCTATTGTTTTGAACTATTTTCTGGAGATTGCATGAAGTATATCTTATCTCTGTAATTGCAAGAACAATATTTTCTATTATTTGTGTATCCTGCAAGATGACTAGCACAGTTCAGGGCACATCATGTGTATATACGTTTTGATTAGACAACTCTTGCTCTTTCACATGTTCTATTTTGTCCTTAGATGACTATAAAATAGAAATGCTTTCAGTGCTGATGTTTACGTAAATATGTACTTGTATGCATGTGTGTGTGTATATTGGACTGAAACAGAAATTAATAGGCATGTTTGATCAAAAAAATGTGAAGAAGTCTCTCAACAGCCCCGCAATCAAAAGATAAACACCCCCATTATTAAATAGCAATATTTTATCCTTTTCAATATACAACATATATTCCCTGTCTTTTCTCATCTTTATATTGTATACATATTATTTCTATCATATTTTAAGCCATTTTCTGGGAAAGCAGTTGTTCAGTTACATGAAAGTAAAATTTGGGAGAAAAAGTATATAATTAAAATGTATATTAACTAAGTCATGATAAATCATCAAAACTTAGGACTGAAGCATTTTATATTGAAAATAAAATGAATATAAATTAGACATTAAGTCTGTTAGATCAGAAGTCTGTTAGAACTGACTAACTCTAGTTCACGACACTAAATCAAGGTAGCAGAAATAAAGTAGTATGTGGTACTACTCCAGATATTGCCAAATTTAAAATGCTTCTTTTGTATGCTCAATAGCATTCAGTAAATTTTTTTTGGTTGAAAAATTTATTAATTAACGCTAGCCAAAGAAAATAAAACCTGATGTTTTCTCCCCCACCCCAAATAATCTTTAATAAACATATTAACAATGCTGAGTGATTTTAAAACTCTTTTCTTTTTTGAGATAAAATTTTTTAAGTGGAAAAGAATTTTTCAGATGTACCAAGACAAGTTCAAAAACATGGCAATATCCTTCAACCTATGCAACATTCTCACCATCTTGTCAGCATTTAATTAAATCTCCCTGACCCAGGTTCAAATGCCAGAATTGGAATACCTGAACCACATCCTATCTAGCCAAGGCATTAAACCCATGCTGGATAAGTCTTCTGTCTGAGATAATGAAGTAGGAGGTACCCAGGACAATCAAAGACATCAGCAACTTCTGACTTACCAGGTTTACTGTTAATTCATTCCCCATTTCTTCACTTTGATCTTCCTAATGGTGAACTAATTTCATCTTCAAGAAAAGGAATTTTTCTACTCTTCATCTATGGATTTCCATATCTGAAAATCCCTTTCAAATACACGTAACTCTGACCAAACAGAACTACTCCAAACATATCTGACCCTGTGCCACTAAATCTGTCAGTTACAACATCACCAGGGAATGCCATCCTGTCATTGCATAAAGACAAAACCTCTTCCTGTGGCAGCCTGCAGCTAATAACTGGTTGAAGAAGTGCAGCTACCTCCTCCAAACTGAGAACAATTCTGAAAGGTCACCCCAGCTTCTGAGTTCCTGTGATGTTGGTCAAGCAGAAACAGATCATTCAGTGGACAGCACCTACAGAAACCTTCTCCAGTAAGGTGTGAATCCCAACCTTAGGGAGAGGTGCTCTCTTCCATGATTGTCCTTCCTTGGATACTCTCCCCCAGCCATAGAATACCTTTATAGTTTGTTTTACATATTTATAGTTACTCTCCTATCATAGTTTAATAATCTTTGGTGTTAAACTTTCTTGGGAAACTTCAACACAGAAATATAAGCAGGAAATGATAAGAAAAGAAAAGGCTAATGTTGAGCCAAAGACACAATAAAACTGGTTGAAATAAGAAAAGAATACATTATGAAATTTAAACTATTTTGTCTCTAAAAGCCAAACTGATTTTACATAAAATCAAATTAGTGTTTTGGTGGCCAAATTGGAGACATTCACCAAAATCCATACCCTCAAAAAGGTCAGAAAACATGGTGTATCAAAGAAATCAAGAACACTGATCTATTCTAAGACCATATAATCTTAGGTGAAAAAGCCTGAGCAGAGAATACAAACGAAATAATCAAAAATATAATAGAAGAAAACTTTCCAGAATCAAGAAAGATGAGGTATACAACAAATGCCTGGAAGAACTGGAAAATAATCATATCAAGACATACTCAGGCAAAATCTTTTAATTCCAAGGAAAAAGAATAACCTATCCAAGCTTCCAGAATGAACACTCAGATTGCCTACTGTACTAGCCAGGATTCTTAGAGGCAAATAATAGAAACTGACTCTGTTAAGTAAATCAGATACTTTGTTTTTACATCCCAAACATCCAGAAAACAAAGAAAATTTAAAAATCCTGAAGTCCACCATATCTATGCCAAGAAGAAAAAATATTATGTTGACCTTATATTTTTGGAACATATGCAATATAAACAATAGTATAAGCATTATATGACATAAAATGTCAACAGACTACTCAAGGTACAAGGTTATAACTCAAGAATTTTATACCAAGAAAAGTTACTGGTTATGTTTAAAAGCAAGACAGATAATGCAGTCCTCATGAATAATTCTTGAGATAATACATTTATCCTATTTGAAAATAAATTACAACTTGCCAAGAGACAAATTAAGGAATCAAAAAGGTGCAACATGTCATATAAAGTATAATTCATGAATATTGAAATAAATTAAATACAAAGTTTTAAGCATAACAATATTTATTAATATAATTATAGAATATGGTTATTAATATGGTCATTATTTTCAGTGAAACAATTACATATTTATAGAACTCAAGATCAGCTCAAAATTATAATTTAGAAGGGTAAAGTATGGCAACTAGTTACAAGATTAATATAAAAATCAACAGTCTTTCTATTTATAAGCAAAGACTTCTAGAATATACAACAGGAAAAGAACATGAGTCAAAAAATTTAAAAATCAAAAATTAAAACAACTAACAATAACCTTAAATAAGAAACGTTGGTGCCCTAGGGAAATAAAACTAATTATGAAATAAAGAAATACATGTCAAGAGACAAAGGAAAATTAATTTAAATGGAGAAAAATGTCATAATAATGTTTGAGAAAGCTGAACTTTTCAAAGATGGCAAATCTTCCTCAAATAAAAGTGTATTGGGGATTATAATAATTTATGGATGCTTTATATAAGTTATACATAAAGTGAGGGCTGAAACTTTGTCATATTTTATTATATCTAAGACTAGAACTGTACATAACACACATTTGTTTAACAATAAATACTTTCCAATAAATGGTTAAAGTAATAAATTAATCCTAGCTGGACCTGCAAGGAAAGATGGCAATATGAATTTAAAAACCGCTATAAAATAAAAGAAAGAAGAGAAGAGCTAAGGAAATGTATGACAAAGAATATAAGTACTATGAAAAGTAAAACACTACAGGACTTGTGCAAGAATAATAGAGTAAATAGTTCTAGTTCAGAACTGAATATATAATCTTTATTATAAAAACACATGAAAAAGAAGCACCAAAGTTTATAAAAAATAAGTGGATTACTCAATAAACTATGATGGGAAATGAGTTTATGTGTCTGAAAACAAAACATGCGAATTGAAGTCTTCTGTGGGAAAAAATAGGCATTTTCTTTTAAAGGCATTTCTACTATAAATAGTAGTAAATATAATAGAAGAAATGATTTATAGACTTCATTTCATTAAAAAAATTAACCCCTGTATTTGAACATTAATACTAAAATTCTAAAACACGTGAAAACTTTGGAAAATTATTTACAATAAATACAACAAAATAATAATATCCTTAATATGCAAAGACTCTATATACCAGTAAGAAAAATAGCACGGTAAATGAAAAGCATACAAAAGACTTGAAAAGATCATTTTAAAAGTAGTACAATTGACCACTGATCATACAAAATATGTTTAACTACTTTAGTATTTATAGCAATTAAAACTCAAATAGCAAGGAGATAACATGTTTTATCAATCAAACTGGCATGTTTTCAAACCATAATGTTTGGTGAGGGGCTTTGCATTGGGAATGTAAATTAACAAAAATATTTTGAAGGATAAGTTGGTAGTATGTGTAAAGAATCTTTAAAAAGTTTCTTCTCTTTCAGAAATTCCACTTCTAGTTATCTATACTAAGAGAATAAATGTTATATGTATGTGTAATGATATTCATTATTCCATTGATATAAAAGCAAATAATTGAAAACACTTAATATTTAACTGAAAAACACTGTTAAATAAATTAGAGTATATCTATGTAAGAAAATATTTAAAGATCTTTAAAATCATATTCTCAGAAAATATTTAGTAATATGAAAAATTGTCATTTTATTATTTTAATATGTTGCACTGTTTTAAAAAGTAGTATAATAAACCCTAGGAGGATAAATTCCAGTTTTAAATGTTTTTTAATAAAATTTATCTTTAAATAGTGAAATAATGGCCTATTTAAATTTTTTAATACTTTTCTGAATTTTGCAAACTTTCAATGATCAATTCAGAATGCTTTTATAATCAAATATTACTGATGTTATATGTGTCAATGAAGTTATTTCACCTCTACCAATCTAACCCAAAAAAAGGTAGATGTGCACAAAGATTTTTTACTCAAGGATATTTATCATCATATTATATATAATAAAATAAATGTATAAACAATCTAAATGTTTAACCATAGAAAATAATTAAATTGTGCTACCTCTGTGTGTATACTTTTATATATTAGGATATTATTACTATAAGTAAAATTTCATAAAATGTTATTGGCATGGGAAAATTTTCATGAAAATTAAGAAATAAAATGCACAGCATGATTCTGTTTCATTTTTATAGTGACTTGTGATAGGGTTTGGCTTTGTCCCCACTCAAATCTCATCTTGAATTGTACTACCTGTAATCCCCACATGTCTTTGGAGGGACCCAGTGGGAGGTAATTGACTCATGGGGGCAGATACCCTCATGCAGTTTTTTGTGATAGTGAGTGAGTTCTGATGGTTTCATAAGGGGTTTTTCCCCCTTTGCTTGGCACTTCTCCTTCCTGCTGCCATGTGAAGAAGGACATGTTTGCTTCCCCTTCTGCCATTGTTTTAAGTTTCCTGAGGCTTCCCCAGCCCTGTGGAACTGTGAGTCAATTAAACCTCTTTTCATCATAAACTACCCAGTCTTGGGTATGTCTTGATAGCATTGTGAGCATAGACTAATACACTCGCATATATAAAAACTAAGATAAAATATATTAAAACACATCTCTGTATGACAGGTGAATTTTCATTATTCATACATATCCTATTTTCCAAATTGTCTATAATAAGAAAAAACAAGCTTTTTAAAGAAAAATGGAAGATTATTCCTCCATTTAGAATCCCATAATACTAAGTGATTTGTTGAAATGTTCATCAGAATGCAGAGGCAATCCTAAGAATTTAACTGCAAATTACAGAATTTTCCTATCTTCACACTTTCTAATTGCCAAATAATTTATAAAAATAAGTAGGACTTAATTTCATGACATGTATTAAAATAAATAAAGTAAATGGTTTTCAATTTGAAATATTCCATTAAGTCTTTTCTAACTTGAGCTTATGAAATGCATGCTTGCTTCTTGTTTCTTTTTAGGCCTTTGCTTCCAGAAATGTTAAAATAACATGATTACTAAATATATCTCCAAGTTTCATACAGCTACTGTGAAGTCAAAATCTGGAAAACAAGTAGAAAAGTGGAGTACTTACTGTTGGCAAGAACTACCACAGATCCCTAAGACTATTGTTCTATAAATGTTAAATTATAAAGTGATACAAATAAATTAGATTTTAAAAGGGAGGAATGGAGTAGGAAGAAGGAGAATGTGTTGTGAGACACAGTAGAACACACAGGAAGAGTTGAGGTATATATCTTTATTCTTACTGACATATATCCCAAATAAATGAAAGCAAACTCAATATTTCATGTATTCAGATTAATAACACCTATTTCTAATTTTAATGTAATAGGTTCTTTAACAAAAAGTTTTCAAAATATTTCAAAGGGCTTATAAAAGTGAATCTTTAGCTTTCTTCTAAGTACACTTTTGCGCTCCTACATCTTTCATAGCCTAGACCTAATTTCTAGTTTCTGGCCTCATCTCCGTTTCTAGGTCCTGCTCCACAGAGGTGTGATCAGGAGGGCCATGCACCATTACAAAATTGACATGACTTAGATCTTAAAAGCAGTACCACTTGCCCCTCCTCCAAACTGTTTGTTTTTTTATTTTTTTGTTTTTTTTCCTTAAGGCTGCTCAAGAAAGTAGCAAATAATATAGCCTAAATAATATATGATTTGTTGAGGACTTTTTTGGAGGAGAGGAAAGGGATGTGATTATTTAAAACTGCACAAGTGGGAAACAATTTCCAAATGCTTTTCAGAAAATATCTTGTAATTAGATTCTCTTTTAAAACTACTAGGACTTTGAAGTAAAATAATGTCTGCTGCTGAGAACACTGTTGAATTGCAGTTAACTCCTACTAGTGATCAAAATGACCCAGTCAAATCTCCAGCTGCTTATGTAATTCTGAATAAATTCTCCATTTTTTAAGAAGGATACACCAAAGAAATAAAGTTCAGTTTGTAGTGGCTCACGCCTGTAATCCCAGCACTTTGGGAGGCTGAGGCTGGCAGATCACGAGGTCAGGAGATCGAGACCAGCCTGGCTAACACCATGAAACCCTGTCTCTACTAAAAATACAAAAAATTAGCCGGGCGTGGTGGCACGCGCCTGTAGTCCCAGCTACTCGGGAGGCTGAGGCTGGAGAATCTCTTGAATGTGGGAGGTGGCGGTTGCAGTGAGCTGAGACTGCACCACTGCATTCCAGCATGGACAACAGAGCAAGACTCCGTCTCAAAAAAAAATTTTTTTTCAGTTAAAAGATACCCACTAAAACAACTCTGTCTTGGCAAAAATTGCAACACTTCAATAAGGGAGAATATTTGGCATGCTCCATTCATTACTCTGTTGTGGTGTACCTTACGAGAGACAACCAAATAAGATAGAACAAAATCTATGTTGAGAACTTACTGTTCTACTTAACACAGGAGTGGAGTACATACTGTTACCAAGAACTGCCACAGAGCCCTAAGACTATAGTTCTATAAATGTTAAATTACAAAATGATACAAATCGTTTTCATGATTCCAGGAAGATGGCAGCCTGTGTCTGTATTCTCTATTCCTTCTCCTTCCTAAGTCCCTGGTGTGGCTACTTTTCCTAGAAAATAACTAAGTGTACTCTTGGAGGCTAGAAAGAACCTGGAATCATCTGAGATTTTAAGTCCTAAAAATGAAGATATAATTCTGGCCTAAAACTTACTGGACAGTGGTCAGAACCCCTTCTAGGCTAACTTCTCCTACATAACTTGGAACAAATGTCACAGATTCCCGGATAACCACAAGCAAGGAGAGAAAATTCTCCTACCTGTTTACTAAGAGAGCCCAAGTGTCCCTTTACACTGTAGTGTTGGGCTAAGTACAATCCATCCCTGGGCTAAGTACAATCCATCCCTGATTGCACCAAACTTAAAAAAAAATCTCTTTTTCTAAGCCTAAATTTCACTAAAAGCACTCTGGAGCTAAACACTCCCATTTAATTATTTATTGTTGTTTAATTACCATTTTCTTAGAGACTCCAAAACCTGAGCAGTACAGGTGTTGACAGATCCCATGTCCAATAATATGAATGCCCATTAATATGAACAATAAGGATCAACAAACCATTTTATGAGACAGTGGCTTAAAAGAAGAAAACTTAGATGATCAACAAGAGTAGTAGAGGTAAAAATAACAGAGGACACACAAAAAAATGGGGAAAAATGTACTATAATCTCTTATAAATATGAAATTAGAATGTGTAAAAACAGTGTCTAGAACTAAAAGAAAGAACTCTTGAATTTTAAAGTTCAGTTGAGAAAATGAAAACGTCACTGAAGAAAAGTAATTTTGTGTTTTAGAAAATCAAGTGAAGAAAACAGAATAAAAATGAACCCTGATAGGTATCAAGTACAGATTAAACATTTGTAAGTTGGTGAATAATGGGATAAAAACAAATGAAGATGTGATCAAAGAAATAATAAACAAAAGCTCTCCTCATCTGAAGTTACACTCAGATTAAAAGAGCTCACTTGTTAAATAATTTAAATGGCACGTATTTAAAGATAATCTGATGATTTTTGAACTCTAAAGTTTTGTTGTTGTTTTGTTTGAGACAGGGTCTGGCTAGGTCACCCAGGCTGGAGTGCAGTGGCACCATCTCGACTCACTGCAACCTCCACCCCCAGGCTCAAGCCATCCTCCCACCTCAGCCTCCCAAGTACCTCGGACTACAGGTATGTACCAACACACCCAGATAATTTTTTTTTATTTTTTGTAGAAATAGGGTTTCACTATGTTGCCCAGGCTGGTCTCAAACTCCTGACTTCAAGTGATCCGCCCTCCTCGGCCTCCCAAAGTGCTGGGATAACAGGTGTGGGCTACCATGACTGTCCGAACTCTAACATTGAACTGGAAATATTACCAGTTTCAACAAGGGAAGAGAAAAGCAGATATTTTCAAATAAAAAAGAACCAAATTATTATCAAATTCTTAACTGTAACATCAGAAGTTAGAACACAATAGACCAACCATTGTAGATTATGGAAGAAAATAACTGTTAAAAATAGGCAGCTGGACTTGAAATCCTGCCTAAATATGGGAAATGGCAGACAGGAGTCAGGACTAACTTGCAGCACCCACTCGGATGGAGAGAACAGCATGTGGAGACTCACATTGTAAACTTTTGCTCCAAGAACTGCCATAGGAACATACCAGAAAAACTGAAAGAATTCACAGATCCTTTGAAAGAAGCACCTTGTTACTGCAAACTCTGTGAGACAGTTGAAAAAATGTCTTGAAAAGTGTGAAAGGGGAAAATCTGCCTCCAAACACACATCCTCCTTGGGGAACCTGAAAATCCAGACCACGGGAGAAGGATTTAAACTTATCTAGAGCTGAAACAAATTTAGACAGCCAAGCAAAATACAAAAGTAGAAGAAGCAGGCCAGGTATGGTGGCCCATGCCTGTAATCCCAGCACTTTGGGAGACGAAGGTGGGTGGATCACTCGAGGCCAAAAGTTCAAGACCAGCCTGGCCAACATGGCAAAACCCCGCCTCTACTAAAAATACAAAACCTAGCCAGCCATGGTGGCACATGCCTATAATCCCAGCTGGCTGGGAGGCTGAGGTGCGAGGATCACCTGAGCCCAGGAGGCAGAGGTTGCAGTGAGCCACGATCACGCCACTGCACACCAGGCTGTCTGTTAAGACTCTGTCAAAAAAAAAAAGGAAGAAGAAGCAGCAGCAGGAAGAGCCCTGTAGGCAGTCTCAGGGGAGCCATTTCTGACTTTATCTCACAGGGGTCTGTGGGAGGGCTGCAAGTGGAACTGGGGAAGGACCACAGGGAGAAAGAAACTTCCAGCTGAACTTCTGTAATAATTTTGACCAAGCATGAATTTTCCTGGGCAGAATCGGGGGAGGGGGAGAATAGGAAGTGTGGACATAAACACAGAAACTGCGGCAGGCAGGGAGGGGTGAAGCCTGAAATCCCTGCTTGCTTTCTCAGCTCTTAGTGGGTAGGCTTGTAGCCTGGTACAAGATCTCAGTACTGCTCACAGGCTCCCTGTATATAAACTCAGTGCTATTGGAGGGGCGTGGTAAGAGTTAGACTAGCCTTACTGGCTGCATGGGAGCTGAGTGAGGCCCGTCACTGCCAGCTTTTCCCCACTTCCCTGGTGACCTGTATAATGTACGAGAGGCAGCCATAATCCCCCTAAGAACATAACTCCATTGGCCTGAGAACCACAATCCCATCCCCCACAGAAGCCATAGCAAGTCCTGCCCAAGGAGAGTCTGAGCTCAGACACACCTAACCCGGCCTCCACTTGATGATTTTTCTCCACCTGCCCTGGTAGCCAAAGACAAAAGACATAATCTCTTGGGAGCTCCATGGCCCCACTCATCACCTGAGAATCCTGAGTACTTATCCAGGCAACCTTAAAGCAAGCTTGTATACCCCTATACTATGCAGTTGATCTCTCCTGAAAGTGCCACCTCCTGGCTAGAGGCCAACCAACTCAAGCCATTACAGCAACTCATAAAAGAACAAACCCACTCCAAAGAAGAAGAAAACAACAGCTAATTCCACTGCCTGTAGCATCCTAGCTAACCAGAGGTCCTGAGTCTGTCCATGTGACAACTTCACTGCTAACACAACTAGCATTGAGAAAACCAGAACAATAAACAAAATTACAACCAAGGACACTCACGGAGTCCACTTCACCCCTCTGCTACCTCCACTGGAGTAGCTGCTGGTATCCACAGCTGAGAGAACTGAAAATGGATCACATCACAGGACTCTTTGCAGACACTCCCCAGTACCAGCCCAGAGCCAAGTAGCTCCACTGGGTGGCTAGACCCAGAAGAGAAATAACAATCACAGCAGTCAGGCTGTCAGGAAGCCCCATTCCTAGAGGAAGGGGAAGAACACCACATCAAGAGAGCACCCTGTGGGACAAAAGAATCTGAATAGCAGCTCTTTAGCCCCAGATCATTCCTCTGACATATTCTACCCAAATGAGAAGAAACCAAAAAGACAACTCTGCTAATATGACAAAACAAGGACCATTAACACCCCCAAAGATCACATTAGCTCATCAGCAATGGATCCAAATCAAGAAGAAATCTCTCAATTGCCAGGAAAATAATTCAGAAGGTCACCTAACACATAAGGACTCACATAAACTTAAGGAAAAGGGGTGGAAAGAGATATTCCATGCAAACAGACACCAAAAGCGAGCAGGAGTAGCTATTCTTACATAAGGTAAAACAGACTTTGAAGCAACAAAAGTTTTAAAAAACAAAGAGGGACATTATGTAATGATAAAAGGACTAGTCCAACAGGAAAATATCACAATCCAAAATATATATGCAGAAGTTCCCAAATTTATAAAGCAATTACTACTAGACCTAAGAAATGAGACAGACAGCAACACAATATTAGTGGAGGACTTCAATACTCCACTGACAGCACTAGACAGGTCATCAAGTTAGAAAGTCAACAAAGAAACAATGAACTTAAACTATATCCTATAATAAATGGACTTAACAGATATTTGCAGAACATTTTCTATCCAACAACTGCAGAATATACATTCTATCCATCATCACATGGAACATTTTCCAAGATAGACCATATATGATAGGCCACAAAACAAAGCTCAATAAATTTAACAAAACTGAAATTATATCAAGTGCTCTCTCATACCACAGTGCAATAAAATTGGAACAAAAGGAACCTTCAAAACCATGGAAATACATGGAAATGAAATAATCTACTCCTGAATAATCATTGGGTCAACAATGAAATCAAAATGGAAATTTAAAAATTCTTCGAACTGAACAATAATAGTGACACATCCTATCAAACCTCTGGGATACAGCAAAAGTGGTGCTAAAAGGAAAGTTCATAGCATTAAATGCCTACATCAAAGAGTCTGAAAGAGCACATATAGACAATCTAAGGTCACACTTCAAGGAACTAGAGAAAGAAGAACAAGCCAAACCCAAACCCAGCAGAAGAAAAGAAATAACCAAGATCAGAGTAGAACTAATTGATATTGAAACAACAACAACAAAAATACAAAAGATAAATGACATGAAAAGCTGGTTCTTGGAAAAGATAAACAAATCAATAGATCATTAGTGAGTGTATTAGTCCCTTTTCATGCTGCTGATAAAGACATACCCGAGAATGGGTAATTTATTAAAAAATAAAAAAAAAGGTTTAATTGACTCACAGTTTCATCTGACTGGGGAGGCCTAACAATCATGGCAGAAGGTGACATACACGTCATACATGGCAGCAGACATGAGAGAAAGAGAATCAAGTGAAAGGGGTTTCCCCTTATGTAACCACCAGGTCTCGTGAGACTTATACACTACCATGAGAACAGTATGAGAGAAACTGCCCCCATTATTCAATTATCACCTACTGGGTCCCTCCCACAACATGTGGAAATTATGGAAGCTACAATTCAAGATGAGATTTGGGTGGGGACACAGCCAAATCATATCAGCGAGATTAACCAAGAAAAGAGAGAATATCCAAATAAGCTCAATTAGAAATGAAATGGGAGATATTACAATAGATATCACAGAAATAGAAAAGATCATTCAAGACTACTTGAACACCTATATGCTCACAAAGTAGAAAAACCTAGAGGAGATAGATAAATTCCTGGAAATATACAACCATCCTAGATTAAACCAGGAAGCAATAGAAACTCTGAGCAGATCAATAACAAGCAGTGAGATTAAAATGATAATAACAAATCGCAAACAAAAGATGTTCCAGGACCAGAGGAATTCACCGCTGAATTCTATCAGACATTCAAGGAAAAACTGGTACCAATCCTATTAACATTATTCCAAAAGATAAACAGGGAATCCTCCCTAAATCATTCTATGAAGCCAGTATCACCCTAATACCAAAACCAGAAAAGGGTATTTGAAACAAAAGAAAACAAAAAACCAATATCCCTTATGAACATAGATGCAAAAATCCTCAACAAAATACTAGTTAACTGAATCCAAAAGCACATCAAAAAGGTAATCCACCATGATCAAGTGGGTTTCATACCAGGGATGCAGGGATGGTTCAACATACACAAATAAATGTGATACATCATATAAACAGAATTAAAAACATCATCTCAATAGACACAGAAAAAGCATTTGACAAAATCCAGTATCCCTTTATGGTTAAAATCCTCAGTAAAATTGGCATAGAAGGGACATATCTTAAGGTAATAAAATCCATCTAAGACAAACCCACAGCCAATATTATACTGAATGGGGAAAAAGTGAGAGCATTCCCCCTGAGACCTGGGATAACACAAGGATGCCCACTCTCACCAATTCTATTCAACATAGTACTAGAAATCCTAGCCAGAGCAATCAGACAAGGCACAGAAATAAAGGGTATCCAACTCAGTAAAGAAGAAGTCAAACTGTCACTGGTCACCAATGATATGATCATATACCTAGAAAAGTATAAAGACTGATCCAAAAAGCTCCTAGAACTGAAAAAATGAATTCAGCAAAGGATCAAGTGACAAAATCAATATATACAAATCAGTAGCACTGCTATACACCAACAGTGACCAAGCTGAGAATCAAATCAAGAACTCAACTCCTTTTACAACAGCTGCAAAAAAAAAAAAAAAAAGGGAAAAAGAAATACTTAGGAATACATCTAACCAAAGAGGTGAAAGATCTCTACAAGGAAAACTACAAAACACTGCTGAAAGAAATCATAGATGACACAAACAACTGGAAATACATCACATGCTCATGAATGGGTAGTATCAATATTGTAAAAATGACAAATCTACAAATTCACCAAACTAGAAAAAACAATCCTAAAATTTATATGGAGTCAAAAAAGAGCCTGCATAGCCAGAGCAAGACTACTCCAAAAGAATAAATCTGGAAGCATCACATTACTTAACTTCAAACTATACTATAAATCTGTAGTCACCAAAACAGCTTGGTACAGGTATTAAAAATAGGCACACAGGCCAATGGAACAG
This sequence comes from Homo sapiens, assembly GCF_000001405.40. Taxonomy (NCBI): domain Eukaryota; kingdom Metazoa; phylum Chordata; class Mammalia; order Primates; family Hominidae; genus Homo; species Homo sapiens. Next base: position 99,684,750 of record NC_000012.12, read on the forward strand.
AGTAGAGAACCCAGAAATAAAGCCAAATACATGCCGGCTTGATCTTCAACAAAGCAAACAAAAATATAATGTGGGGAAAAGATATCCTATTCAACAAATAGTGCTGGGATAATTGGCAAGCCACATGTAGAAGAATGAAACTGGATCCTCATCTCTCACCTTATACAAAAATCAACCCAAGACGAATCAAAGACTTAAATCTAACACCTGAAACCATCAAAATTCTAGAAGATAATACTGGAAAAACCCTTCCAGAAATTGGCTTAGGCAAAGAATTCATGAACAAGAACCCAAAAGCAACTGCAACAAAAACAGAGATAAATAGATAAGACTCAAACTAAAAAGTTTCTGCACAGCAAAAGAAATAATCAGCAGAGTAAACAGACAACCCACAGAGTGGGAGAAAATCATCACAAACTATGCATCTAACTATATAAACAAAGGACTAATATCCAGAATCTACAAGGAACTCAAACAAATCAGCAGGAAAAAACAAACAGTCCCATCAAAAAGTGGGCTAAGGACATGAATAGACAATTCTCAAAAGAAGATACACAAATCACCAACAAACATATGAAAAATGCTCAACATCACTAATGATCAGGGAAATATAAACCAAAATCACAATGCAATATCACCTTACTCCCAGAAGAATGGCCATAATTAAAAAATTAAAACATAATAGATGTTGGCATGGATGTGGTGACAAAGGGAACACTTTTACACTGCTGGTGGAAACTGCTAGTACAGCTACTATGGAAAACAGTGTGGAAAGTCCTTAAAGAACTAAAAGTAGATCTACCGTTTGATCCAGCAATCCCACTTCTGGGTATCTACCCCGTGAAAAAGAAGTCATTATATGAAAAAGACATTTGCACATGCATGTTTATAGCAGCACAACTGGCAATTGCAAAAATATGGAACCAGCCCAAATGCCCATCAATCAACAAGTGGATAAAGAAAACGTGGGGTGTGTTTATGTGTGTGTGTGTGTATACATATATATATATACACACACACACATATATACACAATGGAATACTACTCAGCCATAAAAAGGAATGAAATAATGGAATTCACAGCAACCTGGATGGAGTTGGAGACCATTACCTTGAGTGAAGTAACTCAGAAATGGAAACCAAACATTGTATGTTCTCACTTACAAATGGGAGCTAAGCTATGAAGATACAAAGGCATAAGAATGATACAATGGACTTTGGGGACTCCAGGGTAAGGGGTGGGGATTGAAAGATAAAAGACTATGCATTGGGTACAGTGTACACTGTTTGGATGATAGGTGCACCAAAATCTCACAAATCACCACTAAAGAACTTATCCATGTAAGCAAACACCTATTTCCCAAAAAGCTATTGAAATAATACATAAAATAATAGTAATTTTAAAAATAAGCAGAAGACCATTAGTCAGAGGCTGTCTCTGCACTATGAGTTGCTACATGATGAACCATAACCTAATTTGGTATGTAAACAAACCAAAATGTAACTTAGGAGTATAACAGCCAAGTTTCAGCTAATCACAAGCAGCCAGGTTTCAGTCAATTATAGGCAGCCAGCTTTTCACAACATGCCCAAATAAGGCAAAAGCCTTATCACACTATGCCCAAATAATATAAATACCTCATTGTAGCCAATCAGATGGTTTCTCGACTTTGCTTCCATGTTGAACCAATAAAAGCTCACTGCTCATGCTGCTGGGCAGAGCTCTCTGAACCTCTTCTGGTTCTGAGTGCTGCCTGATTCCTGAATTGGTCTTTGTTCAATTAAGCTACATTAAATTTAAATTGTCTTAAGTTTTTCTTGTAATAAAACTATGAATCAAGAATCCTATTACCAAGCAAGATATCACTCACATGTAAGAAAATAAGTATGACAATTATAGACATGTAAGGGTTCATTTACATTATTTAAAAATTACTCTAAAAAGCATTTTAAGTAACTCAAACCACTTCACACATACTATGAAAACCTTAGAACAGTATACTTTCATTTCCTCCTATCATTTTTGTGCTGTTGTTGCCATATATTTTAAGTGTACATGTTAGAAATCACACAATACATTTTATTATTTTTACTGTACACAGAAGATTTTAATCTCCTTTAAGAAGATTAAAAACAATGAGACAAATTTCTCTTACATTTATGCACCTATTTATCATTGTGGAACCTTTCATTTTTTGGTAGAGCAAACTTTCCATCTGATATCATTTTTGCCTTTTGCCTGGATAACTTCCTTTAATCTTTCTATGAGAAAGATGTGTTTACAGTGAATTCTGTCTGTGTTTGTCTGAAAAGCTTTTACCCTACCTTCACTTATGAAATATAATTTAAATGCAAATAAAATTATAACTTGATAGTTTTTTCTTTTAGTGTTTTAAAGATATCATTTCATCACTTCAGACTCACAGAGTTTATAAGAAAAAGTCTGGTTTTATTCTTTTATACATAGTACTCTGGTAAGTAATATACCTTTTTTCTCTGGCTGCTTTTAGGATTCTTCTTTACATCACTGATTTTCAATAATTTTATTTTAAATATGACTCAATGTGGCTCCTTTAAGTTTATTTTGCATACAGTTTATTCAACTTATTGGATCTGTGGGCTTAGAGTTTCCATCAAATGTTGAAAATTTTCAAACATTATTTTCTCAACTAATTTTTCTACTTTCTTCCCTCCCTTTCAGGATGTCAGTTACACATAGCTTAGTGGCTGAGTTGGTCACTGCTCACTGATGCTCTGTTCTATTTTTTTTCAATCCTTCTTCTTTCTGTACTTCATTTTAGTTTCTATTGCTAGATCCTCAAGTTCACTAATCTTTTCTGCTTCAGTCCTATCTCTGTTATTAATCTCATCTAGTACACTTTTCATTTCAGCTATCATATTCATTATCTCCAGAAGTTCCACTTGAGTCATTTTTTTCTTACACTTCTCTCCTCATGCTCATGTATCCCTTTATGTGCTTGAGCATTTTATAACACTGTTTTATATATACATAATATAACAGCTATTTTGTAAACAGCTTTGCTGCTAAATCTATTGTCTCTGTTTCTACTGATTTATTTATTTTTCTCCAGGTTATGGCTTCTTTACACACAAAATAATTTTTTACTGTTTGGTGAACATTGTGAATTTTACATTGTTAGGTGCCAGATTTTGTTATATTCTTTATAACCAGGACATAGTTAATTAATATGCAGATCAGTTTCATTACTTTGAGGCTTCCTTTAAACTTTGTTAGGATAATTCCAGAACAATCTTTTTTCAAGGCCACATTATCCCCATTATTAAGGAGAGACTCTTCTGAGTACTCTTCCAGTGCCTTGTATCTTACAATTTAGGTCTCTTCTTTTCACTGTTGGGAATATAAAACATTCCCCACTCTGTGGGAGCTCTGAGAACCGCTGAGTATTGCTTTTCAGTGGGTCCTTCCCCAGCCTCACTGTGTGCAGTTCCCACCTCTCCAATACCCTGAGCTACAAATCCTAGCAAATTCAAGCTACCTGAAATCTAAACTCTGTCTCCTCATCAAGAACTCTCTCCCTGCTTTGTAGTCTATAAACCACCTTCAAACACATAGGTGGGTAATTGTAAGGCTCACCTCATTTGTTTCTCTTATCTCAGAATTTACAGACATGTATCGCCTAATGGCCAACAACTGAAAACATCTGTTTTATATACTGTGTCCATTTTTCTAGTTCTTTACAGTGGAAAGGATATTCCCAAAATAACAAATGCCTCTTGATGAGAGACTGATCGTTTTCGGAAAATATCAATATAAAGAAAAAAGGCACCAAGGACTGTGTCTCAAGCCTGTAATCCTAGCACTTTAAGAGGCTGAAGTGGGAAGATCACTTGAGGCCAGGAGTTCGAGACCAGCCTGGGCAACATAACAAGACTTGGTCTCTAGAAAAAAACATAGCCAAGTATAGTGGTGCACACCTGTAGTCCAAACTACTTAGAACTACTTAGAAGGCTGAGGTGGAAGGATTGCTTGAGCCCAGGAGTCCAAGGCTGCAGTGAGCTATGATTGCACCATCACAATCCAGCCTGGGTGACAGACTGAGATACTGTCTCTAAAATAATAATAATAATTACATGAGCAAGTGCTAAATTTAAAAAAAAAAAAAGAGAGAAAATGCAAGTTACAAAAGTTGTGAATTTCTTACAAGTAATATATTTTAAGGGTTCCATTGTGTATAAAAAAATTACCTATGTGATCTTGGACTAGTTATTTAGACTTTTTAGCCCTAAAATCATCTCAATTCAAATTTTCCTCAAACTGAAGAAATTTTCTTCCCCCAATTCACAATCCTCTACTTCCTCATCTTCAATGTTCCTACATTACACTATTGTAAATATCCCCTATTTGATATTTTGGTTTCTAGTTTTAAACTATTCAAATCCATCTTTCACTCTACCACTAGATTATTCTATTTAAAACACAAAACATGTCTTATTCATGTTTGAATTCCTAATAATTAGACTGGATTGTTAAGACAAATCTCTCTAAGAAGATCTCTTTTAAGATGAAACCAGGCTAACAATTAGAGCCAGCCATGTAGAGATTAAGAACCAGGCAGAGGGATCAAATAATGCAAAGAAGAATACAAGAGTAAGCTTAGTGCGTGTGGCAGGCAGAATTTTAAGATGGCTCTAAGATTCCTACTCTCTGATTTACACACCCTGTATATTAATCCTCCCCTCACATGTCAGCTCAATCTGTGAATAATATGCAACATCACTCTTGTGATTATGTTATGTTACCTGGCCAAAGAAGTTATGTAGATGTAATCAAGCTGGGTTAGCTCAAGTTAATCAAAAGGGAGAGTATCCTGGCTGAGCCAGACCTGATCAGGTAAGGATCAGGTCTGCTCACCTGAGGTCAGAAAAATTCATCTGCTGGCTTTAAGAAAGTTAGCAGTCATGCACTGAGACAGCCATGTGGCTAGAATCTGAGACCAGCCTCAAGTTGAAAGCAACTCTCCTCCAATAGTCTACAAGACAATAGAGGCCTCAGTTCTACAACCTCAGAAGTGAATTTAACCAAAAACACATGAGCCTGGCAGAGAACAACTGAACTTCAGAGGAGACCACAGTCTTAAAAGACAACTTGATTGCAGCCTTGTGAGACCATGTACAGAGGACCTGTTATTAGTCCATTCTCACAATGCTATCAAGAAATACCCAAGAATCGATAATTTATAAAGGAAAGAGGTTTAATTGCCTCACAGTTCCCCATTGCTAGGGAGGCCTCAGGAAACTTACAATCATGGTGGAAGGCAAAGGAGAAGCTGGCACTTTCTTCACAGGGCGGCAGGACAGAGTGAGTGCAAGCAGGGAAATGCCAGATGCTTAAAAAGCCATCAGATCTCATGAGAACTCACTCACTATCATGAGAACAGCATAGGGGAAACCGCCGCCATAATCTAATTACCTCCACCTGGTCCCAATCTTCACTCATGGGGATTATGGGGATTAAAATTCAAGGTGAGATCTGGATGGGGACACAGAGGCAAATTATATCATTCCACCCCTGGCCCCTCCCAAATCTCATGTCTTTTCACACTTCAAAACCAATCATGCCTTCCCAACAGTACCCTAAAGTCTTAACTCATTTCAGCACTAATTGAAAAGTCCACAGTCCAAAGTCTCATCTGAGACAAGGCAAGTCCCTTCCACCTATAAGCCTGTAAAATCGAAAGCAAGTTAGTTACTTCCTAGATACAATGAGGGCACACACATTGGGTAAATATAGCCATTCCAAATGGGAGAAAAAGGAGCTACAGGCCCCATGCAAGTCTGAAATCCAATGGGGCAATCAAATCTTAAAGTTCCAAAATAATCTCCTTTTGACTCCACGTCTCACATCTGGGTCACACTGATGCAAGAGGTGGTCTCCCATGGCCTTAGGCAGCTCCACCCCTGTGGCTCTGCAGGGTACAGCCCCCATACTGGCTGCTTCCACAGGCTGGTGTTGAGTGTCTGCCGGTTTTCCAGGTGCACAGTGCAAGCTGTAAGTGGATCTATGATTCCGAGGTTTGGAGGATGGTGACCCTCTTCTTGCAGCTCCACTAGGCACTGCCCCAGTGGGAACTCTGTGTGGAGGCTTCAACCCCACATTTTCCTTCCCTACTGACCTAGCAGAGGGTCTTCATAAGGGCTCTGCCCCTGTAGCAAACTTCTGCATGGACATCCAGGCATTTCCCTACATCCTCTGAAATCTATGCAGAGATTCTCAAACCTCAATTCTTGACTTCTGTGCACCCATAGGCTCAACACTATGTGGAAGACACCAAGGCTTGGGGCTTGCACCCTCTGAAGCAATGGACCAAGCTGTACCTTTGCCCCTTTTAGCCATGGCTGGAGCTGAAGCAGCTGCGATGCAAGGCACCATGTTCCAAGGCTGCACAGAGCAGGAGGGCCCTGAGCCCACCCTACAAAACCATACTTCCTCCCAGGCCTCTGGACCTGTGATGGGAGGGCCTTCTATGAACGTCTCTGATATGCCCTGGAGACTTCCTCCCCATTGTGTTAGTGACTGACATTCAGCTCCTCACTACGTATGCAAATTTCTGCATCAGGCTTGAATTTCTCCCCAGCAAATGGTTTTTCTTTTCTATTGCATTGTCAGGCTGCAAATTTTTCAAACTTTTATGCTCTACTTCCTCTTGAACACTTTGCTGCTTAGAAATTTCTTCCATCAGATACCCTAAATCATCTTTCTCAAGTTCAAAGTTCCACAGATCTCTAGGGCAGGAGCAAAATGCTGCCAGTCTCTTTGCTAAAGCATAGCAAGAGTGACCTTTACTCTAGTTCTCAACAAATTCCTCATCTCCATCTGAGACCACCTCAGCCTGGATTTCATTGTCCATATCACTATGAGCATTTTGATCAAAGCCATTCAATAAGTCTCTAGGAAGTTCCAAACTTTCCCACATTTTCCAGTCTTCTGAGCCCTCCAAACTGTTCCAACCTCTGCCAAAGTTCCAAAGTTGCGTCCAAATTTTCAAGTATCCTTGTAGCAGTGCCCCACTCTCAGTACCAATTTAGGACCCAGTTAAGCTATGCCTGAACTCCTGACACACAGAAACTGAGATAACAAATGGGTGTTTTTTAAATCATGAAGTGTGTAGTAATCTGTTACACAGCAATAGAAAACTCATGGAATATGTTTAAGAGGCAAGAACAACAAAAGCCAGTACAACTGGGGTATGGTGGGCATTTTAAGATAAAAAATGGGATAAATTGTTAGGAGATTAGGTTGGCGAGATAGATGAGAGTCAAATTCTGTGAAAATTTGTTGTTAAAAGTGGGAAGTTTTTTATAATTTTGCTTGTTAAGTATATAAGAAAGTCATCACTGAGATTTAAGCATGGGAAGAACCTGATTGGCAATTTTTAAAGAACATTCTGGATGCTGTGAGTAAAATGGATTGTAGGAGGGGAATAACAGAAGAAGGAATGAGACTAGTTAGAAGGCTGTTACAATAATCCGGTGAGAATTGAAGAAGGCTGGGATAGTGGCAAAAGAAGTTAGATGTGGTCAGATAGCGGTCATATTTTTTAAAGTGGAGTTAACAGGAATTATTAATGGATCAGGTTGAGGGTAAGAAAAAGAGATGAGGCCCAGCGCAGTGGCTCATGCCTGTAATCCCAGCACTTTGGGAGGCTGAGGTGGGAGGATCACTTGAGGTCAGGAGTTCAAGACCAGCCTGGGCAACATGGTGAAATCCTGTCTCTACTAAAAATACAAAAATTAGCTGGGCATGGTGGTGCATGCCTGTGGTCCCAGCTACTCTGGAGGCTGAAGCAGGAGAATTGCTTAAACCCAGGAGGCAGAGGTTGCAGCAAGCTGAGATCGCACCACTGCACTCCAGCCTGGGTGACAGAGCAAGATTCTGTCAAAAAAAAAAAAAAAAGGAAAAGAAAAAGAAATGAATCAGGGATGACTTTAAGTTTTTGACTTGACGAACTAAGCTGATGGTGGGTTGTCGTTTATTAAGCAGGGGAAGTCTATGGGAGGAACCAGTTGGAATGACGGGATGGGGAAAAGCATGTGTTCTACTTCGGATAAGTTGTTTTAACTGCCTACTCATCACCTGAATGGTGATATCAGGTTAGCAGATGGTTATACATGTCTCAAACTGCAGGCACAATTCAGAACTAGAAGTAACAGAGTCATTGGCATGTAGGCAGTATGTAAAGCAAAAGTACTGGATGTATTACTTTGGGCAAGTGTGTTAATTGAAAATACAAGGTTTTCTGTGCCTAATCCCTGGAAAATACAACTGACATATTTGAGGTACAGCAGAGGAAGAGGAGTTTGCAAAGGAGACTTAAAAAGAGCAGTCAAGGAGGGAAGAATAAGGAAAAATAGTATAAAGTCATTTAAACAAACAGAAGAATGTATTTCAAGAAAGAGAAAACAATCACACTTTATCAAATAATGCTGAAAGGAAAAAAATAAAATACATTAGGTCAGAGAAGTGATCATTGGATTCATAATCATGGATATTTAAATGGTAGACTTAACAAAAGAACTGTTGGAGTACTGGTTGTGATGGACTGCCCATTAAAGCAGAGACAGGACAAAATCTAAGTGTAAAAAAACCAGAAACAATAATGACAGTAGATATCTCTTTCAAAATATGTCACTGTGAAAGGGTTCAGAGATTGAAGCTATTGTGTTGTGACAGCTGGGGTCAAGAGATTTTGTTTTGTATGGTTGGCGGTAAGATGGGATATATCACAGCATGTTTTTAGAAAGTACATTGGTATCCAGCATACTATTGCAATAAAATTAAAGCTGACCTTATCTGATTCTACCTAACTGAATTTTAATGCTAAATAAAGCCAAAACTTTAGCCAGTTCAGGATAGTCATCATATACATGATGGCAAAATGAATGTTAAAAAATAAACAACTACATTGAGAGAAGATACCAGGCATCCAGAGTTATTCATAAGTTAAATGACTGGTTCCTACACACTGGTCTTTCAACAAATATTTTTTGGACTTTTTTTTTTTTTTTTTGAGATGGAATCTCGCTCTGTCACCCAGGCTGGAGTGCAGTGGCGCGATCTCAGCTCACTGCAAGCTCTGCCTCCCGGGTTCACGCCATTCTCCTGCCTCAGCCTCCCGAGTAGCTAGGACTACAGATGCGTGCCAACATGCCTGGCTAGTTTTTGTATTTTTAGTAGAGACATGGTTTCACTATTTTGGCCAGGCTGGTCTCGAACTTCTGACCTCATGATCTGCCCACCTCAGCCTCCCAAAGTGCTGGGATTACAGGCGTGAGCCACCATGCCCAGCCCTTTTTTGGACATTTTTATTCAAAGTTGTGAGTACCAATAATTTTCTATAAAAGCATTAGAATTGTCAGACTATGAGATGGGCACGGTGGCTCACACCTGTAATCCCAGCACTTTGGGAGGCTGAGGTGGGCAGATCACTGTGTGTGGTCAGGAGTTCGAGACCAGCCTGGCCAACATGGTGAAACCCTGCCTCTATTAAAAATACAAAAATTAGCTAGGCACAGTGGTAGGTACCTGTAATCCCAGCTACTCAGGAGTCTGAGGCAGAAGAATCGCTTGAACCCGGGAGGTGGAGGTTGCAGTAAGCTGAGATCATGCCACTACACTCCAGCCTGGGTGACAGAGTGAGACTTCATCTAAAAAAAAAAAAAAAGAATTGTCAGACTATGGATGGACTTACCCTCTATTTTCCAACCATCTGTAATATTTCTATATGGAGTTTCAACAAAAAGTAATGACATTAAACATGATACTGTAAAAGATAAATAAAACCTCAGCTGACCAAAGCATCATAAATGTAATATCTTAAAATAATAAGAGCATAATTATATTAAGACCTACAGAATTATCCATGTCTAGTGAAACATAAAGTAACAATTTTAAGACTAAAATTGTAAAGAGTTAATGGTTTTCAACAAACACATACCAAAAATTAATAATTAATTTTTAATCCATAGAATTTTAGACCATAAAAAGATCTTACATGTTATTTTGCTCAACCTATTCCTAGTGCCAAACTTCTTTCTTCAGCATCTCTGGGAAATCTATGCTTCAGCTTGAAAATGTCCACTAAGAAGCTCATGCTTTCTCAAGGCAAGTACAGTGGAACAGCTTTCATATATTAAGCTAAAACCTGCCTCTCCCAAACTTCCACTCATTAATCTTAGTTTTGTCCTTGGAATGCATACTTAGAAAGCTCTGAAATTAAAGGAACAGGGTCTTTACAAAGCAAACTGTTTGCTTTCAAACTTTTGTTACTAGGAATATCTCAAAGTGGGGGGGAAATAGTGCTTCTGTGCTTAACAAATGAGCTCTGTTTATAATCAAAAAAGTAAGGTTTACATAAATTATTTATTATCAGGAAATCCCTAAATTCAGAAGTAGCCTATAGAAGTTGACGTTTTAACAAATTACTAAAATCAGCTTTTGTTTTGTTATCTGATGTGGTCAAAGTGTTATGCATGGCTAGATACAAATATAGCAAAACTTCAAACTCACTTCCTCTTTTCTTCTAATTTAATATTTACTGATTAAATCAAATTTTAATATGCACTTGCTTCTGCAGTAGAACAGATATCTCATAAAGACAAAACTCCCACTGAACGTAGTGGTAGTCATCAGTGCTCACAGTCTAATGTGCACTGCAAAAACATGTAGAGAAAAATCCATTAAACTACATTGGCTATTGATTCTTTTCTCCTGAGAAGTTCCAGCCAGAATTCATTGCTATCACTGTCTTATGCATGGTGGTGCCTCACTAATGAAAGATTCAGATTTTTTTAAAGGGTCTACCTGGCCTAAATAAGATATGCCACTTAAAATTAGATTCATAATAAACCAAACACCGCATGTTCTCACTTACAAATAGGAGCTGAACAATGAGAATACACGGACACAGGGAGGGGAACAACACTCACTGGGGCCTGTCGGGGGAGGGTTGGGGGAGACAGAGCATCATGATAAAGAGCTAATGCATGCAGGGCTTAATACCCAGGTGATGGGTTGATAGGTACAGCAAACCACCATGGCATATGTTTACCTATGTAACAAACCTGCACATCCTGCACATGTATCCCAGAACTTAAAATAAAATAAAACTTTTTTAAAAGATGGTAACAATAGACACTGGGGACTACTAGAGCGCGGAGGGTGGAAGGGGAGCAAGCATTTAAAAACTACCTACTGGGCACTATGCTCACTACCTGGGTGGAGGGATCACTTGTACCCCAAAACTCAGCAAAGCACAACATACCCATGTAACAAACCTGCACATGTACCCCTTGAATCTAAAATAAAAGTTGAAATAAAAAATAAATTAAAAAGAGAAATTTTTTTTAAGTAGATTCATAAATTTCACAATTTATAAATTAATACATATATGGTTCGTTGTTCATCTCATGATAAAATCACTTGGAAAAACTCCAAATGTCATTAGGAAGATACCTATAAGATGATGTAGAGTCATTTTATGGAGTCTACGATATATTGTTAAGTGAAAAACAAAAGCTTCATATCATTCCTACTCGATTTCAAGGTGTACTATAAAGCTACAATAATCAAGACAGTGTGGTATTGGTGAAAGAATAGACAAACATATTAGTGGAACAGAATAAAATCCAAAAATAAACACATACCAATACGCTCAAGAGATCTTTGACAAAGTAGCAAAGCAAGTCAATGTAGATAGCGTTTCAACAAATGGTGCTGGAACAACTGAACATCCACATGTAAAAAAAAAAATTAGACACAGGTCTTACACTTTTCACAAATTAATTCAAAATGGATCATAAGCCTAAATGTAAAATGAAAAGCTATAAAACTTCTAGAAGATAACAGGAAAAAAATCTAGATAGTGTTGGGTTTGGCAATAACATTTTAGGTGCAACACTGAAAACATGATATATAAAATAAAAATTGATAAATTAGACTTCATTTAAACTTAAATTGAAAAATTCTGCTCTGTGAAAGATACTCTTAAGAGAATGAAAGGACAAGCCACAGACTTGGAGAAGATCTTGGCAAAACACATATCTGATAAAGGACTGGTATTCAAAATATACAAAGAACACTTAAAATACAACATAAGAAAACAAATAACCCAATTTTTAAAATGGGCAAAAGATCTTAACAGCTACTTCACCAAAGAAGATATACAGATGCCAAATAATTGCATGAAAAGATGCGAATACCATATGTCACTAGAGAACTGCAAACTAAAACAACAATGACATACCACTACGCATCTACCAGAATGACTAACATATAAAACACTGACAACACCAAATGCTGGTGAGGATGTGGAGCAACAGGAACTCTCATTCATTACTGTGGAAGTGCAAAATGGTACAGCCACTTTAGAAAACAGTTTGGAAGTTTCTTACAAGCTAAGCACAATCCTACCATGTGGTCTAGTCATCACACTGGATTTATTTCATTTGAGAATTTATCCAAATGAAAATAAACCCACAGAAAAATCTGCACAGGAATGTTTATAGCAGCTTTATTCATAATTACCCAAACTTGGAAGCAACTAAAATGTCTTTCAGTCAGTGGAACAGATAAACAAACTGTGGTATATCCATGCAATGAAAAATTATTCAGTGGTGAAATGAAATAAGCTTTCAAAGCATGAAAAGACATAAAGAAACCTTAAATTTATATTACTAAGTAAAATAATCCAGTCTGAAAAGGCTACTTACTGTATAATTTCAACTATATGACATTCTGAAAAGGCAAAACTATGGAGACAATGAAAAGATCAGTGGTTGCCAAAGTTCTGGGGGATAAAGCAAGGGATGAATAAGGAGACCACAAAAGGTTTTTAGGGTAGTGAAACTATTCTATATGTTACTGTAACTGTGGCTACATGACATTATGGATTTGTCAAGAGCCACAGAACTGCACAACACAAAGAGTAAAACCCTATATAAACAATGAACTTTAGTTAATAATAATGTATCAATATCAGTTGAACAATTTTAACAAATATACCACATTAATGTAAGATGTTAATAACAGGAGAAATGGGAGAGGTAGCAGGTATATGGGAACTCTGTACTTTCTGCTAAACTTTTCTGTAAACCTAAATTTACTCTAAAAAGTAAAGTCTATTAATTTTTTTAAATCTATAAGCAAAAATGTATGCATACATAGCATGCTTTTGATTAAGAAAAACGGGGCAGAAAACATAGGAAGGATAAACCAGAAAAACGTTAGATTACCTATATGGGGTGGGTAGAAAGAGCAGAAGGTATAGGAAAGAGGTAGGATTTCTCTGAGTATACCTGTTTATATAGTTTTGATGACATATTAATATTTTATATAATAAAAACAAAACTAAATCAACAAGAATGTTGTGGAAAGTCCTTATAATTTGCTAAAAACAAAAACATATAAACCTAATTATATATCAAATAGATAACTATATAGAATAAAATAAAAACAAATTAATCCAAGAACGTTTTGAATACAATACTGTTTCCACCCTCAGTGGAAATATTCTAAGGACCAAAATAACCGCAAATAAACCTTGAATTTCACTTGGTAAATTTGGTGGCATTGCTGGTATTGTACAGCAATTTAAGTGTGTGTGTGTCCGTGTGTGCATGTGTGTTGCACAAGCACATGTACATGTGTTAAAAATGAGTAAATAGGCGGTTACACTGACACTATTGGGAACTGGGATTTTCACCATGAAAGAAAGGAAATACAAATATGGATTGAGGAACAGACAGAATTTGTGGCTGAAGAGAATAAATCCATGACTTAAGAAAAAAAAATGCTTTCTACCATTACCTACTAAAAGGTTCCCGAAGCAATAACACTCTACAGCAAACAATAAGTTCCTTTGCTATATATTTAAGCCTCGGGTTTATGAATCTAACATTGCGTCTTATCTGTAGTTGGGACATGCTGTTTCATTCTTGGAAAATTTCTTTTTCCTCTTTTTTACCTGCTTAATGCTTACTCATTCTTAATGTTTCAGCTAAATATGACTATTTCTGGAATATAATAAATTACCATCGATTTCTCTCCTTAAGGCCTATGATGACTTCACACTACTTAATAGATATCCAGATATACACACTCTGCCCATGGTTTTCTTTATCAGATTGTGCTGGACTATCTTATCTAGCTTGTTTTCTTCCTACTGCTGTTCTGTGTGTGTGTGTGGGTGTGCACGCACGTGCGCAAGCACATGTGCGTGCTCTTTATTAGCTCTAACAGATTTTCTTATTTTTCAAATTTATTCATTCACTTATTTTTTCATTCATTCAGATTCATTCAATGACACAGGCAGTGTGCCAGTGAGTCTCCCAAGTTCCATTCTATACTTGGGAACATTTCATTGCCCCCCTGCCACCCACTTCACACAGACACATACGTGTGTGTGCATGTGTGCACATGTGCACACACACTGCTGAAATTCTACTTCTGTAAATTCTTCAATTAATGGAAGAGAAGTCACCATTTTTCCATGTGTTTTTTCTTTCTAAAATTGTGCCATCCATGAATCTACCATTCAAATAACAGTGATTCTTTTCATAAATAATTACTTACTTAATTTATGTTTTGCTCAGCTCTATCTCTTCAGTGCTGACTTTCTTAAGCTATAAAATCCTGGAGAGTAAAAATATATGCCTTTTCATCCCCTTTGCCCTTAGTCCAGCACCTGAGAAGCCGTTAAGAAATACCAACAATAATAATGCATTATGCACAGTGGTTGCACAATAAATATTGACAGAATGAAAACAATACCCTTAATAAATGTGAAAGAACAGAGTCTTCTTGTATTGCTGTTTTAAATATCCCGTAACTTCTGGTCAAATCTCCTTACTTGCTAAACGATACAAAAATTAAGTAATTTGTAAGACTTGCTCAAGATTTTATACTTCAGGATAGAGTGTATATTCATCAATGCAAGTAACTAAAATGTAGAAGAGTAAAATGAATTTTGATAAAGTTATTCCATTTTAATTTCAACACACAGGTGCTGGCACTGATAAATGTAACCTGAAGGTTTAATTCAGAGAAATCTTTGCCTTCAAGCATATTTAAAATAAGCTGTTTGCATTTTCCTGCATATAATTATTCTAACCCTGAAAGCACCTTTTAAATATGGATTACAAATCCAGCTGCCTTAAAATGAAAGTAAAAGGTTTTCCTTTCTCAGTCTATTTTGTAAGTTGGAAATTAATGTAACAGAACTATTTTGAGCTTAGAGAGTTAAACCTTCTGACTAAATTCATGCTTAATTTTTTAATGTATTTGTGAGTTTACCAAGGTTTGCACAGAAGACAACTTTTAAAATATCAAAAAAATTAACAATGCTTCATTTTTTTAACATTGTAATTTTTAAAATTAGTCATCTCTCCTCCTAGAGGGATACTTCACAAAAGAGGCATCCCTTGATCAGGCAGGGTTTACTCAGCCAAGTGCTTGGAATGAACCCAGAGGAACCAAAAGCCCTGATATTTCTGGTATTTATTTGCAAGAAACAGTAGTCTCCCCATACCCATAGGGGTGAGTTCCAAGACCCCCAGTGAATGCCTGAAACTGAGGATAGTACCCAATCCAACTGCCATCAATAGGAACATGCTTCTTTTCATGTATTCTACTCACAAACTGAAAGCCTTTGCCATATTGACTAAGGATTTATTACACACTGTGGCTGTACCTTTTGCAGTTTGAGGTGCAACAACAAAGCGAGCACGAATTTTTTTTCCTTCTTTACAATTTCATGAATGGAAGTCTCATCCCTACCATAGATCTTAGCAACCTCAGCACATAATATTTTTTTTCTTTATTGAGAACTTTCACCTTTTCACTTAAAGCACTTTACAGCTTCTCCTTAGCATATCCCAATTGCCAGCATCATTACTTTTGTAGTGGTACCACAGGTAACTGAAACCACGAAAGTGAAACCCTGGATAAAGGGGAACTACTGTATTCCCATTCTAATTGCTAGGATCCTGTTCCTAACTGGAAACTAACTTTAGAATATGCTAGAGAATTTATGTTCTGCAATTCAATAAAACATGTGATTGCCCTTGACAGTCTCAGGTCATTGACTTGAAGCAGAAAGTTTTGCTTAATGACTACAGAGCAGTCTTCCAATCCCCACCTGCTGAACTGGTGCTTATCTCTTACTTGTAATATCTTGTAAGGAATGCAAGAAACCTACAAACTCTACTATTCTGATTATTTCTACAAAGGTGACCTTTGGTGAGTACGTGGTCTAAGTCCCAAGAAACAACACATTATAGTTTAACTTTGTTACCACACTTCAATAATTGTTTCTCAACCTGGTATATAGAAATTCTAACCAGGCTCCTGATCCATTTTGCCTATTTCATATCTTAGAATCTCTTGGTTGTGCCACCACTTCCTGACACCAGTTGAGACACTTTGGGGTTGCAAGTGGGTTTGCACTTTGGGGTTGCAAAATCCAACTCAAACTAGCTTAATCATAAACTGGAATGTATTATCTCTTGGAATCCAGGGAAATGCTAAACAATAGTATATAGATGAGCCTCAATAAAAATGAACCAACAACAGATATGCTGCTGCTGCTTTTTTTAAATCTTGTATTTTTTTATTTTTATGGGTACATAGTAGGTGTATATATTTATGAGGTACATGAGATACTTTTATACAAGCATACAATGTGTAATAATCACATCAGGGTAAACGAGGTATCCACCACTTCAAACATTCATCATTTCTTTGTGCTACAAACATTCCAATTGTATTCCCTCAGTTATTCACAAATGTACAACATATTATTGCCGACTACAGACACCCTGTTGTGCTATTAAATACTAGATCTTATTCATTGTATCTAACCATATTCTTATACTCATTAATCATTTCCCCATCCCCGCCCCCAACACTACCCTTTCCCAGCCTCTGGTCACCATCATTTTACTCTCTGTCCCCATAAGTTCAATTGTTTTGATTTTTAGATCCCACAAATGAGTGAGAACATGCAAAGTTTGTCTTTCTGTGCCTGGCTTATTTGACTTTATATAACGTCCTCTAGTTCCATCCATGTTGTTGCAAATGATAGGATCTCACTTTTTATGTCTGCATAGAACTCCATCATGTATATGTGCCACATTTTCTTTATCCATTCATCTGTTGATGGACACTTAGGTTGCTTCCAAATCTTGGCTATTATGAATAGTGCTGCTGTAAACATGGGAGTGCAGGTATCTCTTTGATATACTGATTTCCTTTCTTTTGAGTTTATATCTAGCAGTGGGATTGCTGGATCATATGGTAGTTCTATTTTTAGTTTTTTGAGGAACCTCCATATTGTCTTCCATAGTGGCTGTACTAATTTACATTCCCACCAATGGTGTATGAGTTTTCCCTTTTCTCCACATCCTTGCCTGCATTTGTTATTGCTTGTCTTTTTAATAAAAGCCATTTTAACTGGGGTGAGAGGATATCTCATTGCGGATTTATTTGCATTTATCTGATGATCAATGATGTTGAGCACCTTTTCATATACCTGTTGGCCATTTGTATGTCTTCTTTTGAGAAATGTCTATTCAGATCTTTTGCCCATTTTTAAATCAGATTGTTGTATCTTTTTCCTGTTGAGTTGTTTGAGTTCCTTATACACTCTAGTTATTAATCCCTTGTTATAGGGGTTGTCTGCAAATATTGTCTCCCATTCTGTGGGTCATCTATTTACTTTGTTGATTGCTTACTTTCCTATGCAGAAGGTTTTGTTTGATTGCCTTTTTTTTATTTGAGACAGCGTCTTGCTCTATCGCTCAGGCTGGAGTGTAGTGGTACAATTATGGCTCACTGCAGCCTCAACTTCCCAAGCTCAAGCAATCCTCCCACTTCAGCCTCCCAAGTAGCTGGGACCATAGGCATGCACCACCAAACCCAGCTAATTTTTTTTTTTTTTTTGTAGAGGCAGAGTTTCCCTATGTTGCCTAGGCTAGAAGCTTTTTAACTTGATGTGATTACATTTGTCCATTTTTGCTTTGGTTGCCTGTGCTTTGGGGTTATTACTCAAGAAATCTTCACCTAGAACAATGTTCTAGAGAGTTTCCCCAATGTTTTCTTTTAGTAGTTTCATAGTTTCAGGTCTTAGATTTAAGTCTTTAATCCACTTTCATTTGATTTTTGCACATGGTGAAAGACAGGGTCTAATTTCATTCTTCTGCATACAGATATCCAGTTTTCCCAGCACCATTTTTGCAATTTAGATTTCATTCTCTTTCATTATAAATTTTGTTTCTCCACAAGGCAAGAAACATAACCATCAAACATCTAAGTTTTATATCTTAAAGTTTCTTTGGCCATTAAAGGAAACATTGACTCTCTTTCTCTTGATTCCAGTTTTAAATTTCCTGAAAATAATTCTGATTGGCCTGACTTGAATTAGATCAATCTGAAATATTCCATTGTTGAGATGGCATAAAGTGGCCAACTGTCCTGGTTTGCCTGAAACTAAAGGGTTTCCTGGGATACAAATGCATTGACTCTGATACTACTGTTGATTATTTGTAATAGTAAATGAAACATCATGTCTAATGTATTCTGTGTGCTTCAAATCTTTTTAAAAGAAACTGAATTAACTAACTGGCATCCATTGCTCTTCTCAAAAATGTTTTTATATTTTGACTGAAACCCACCATGTGTTATGGTTATCTCCTTTCTTTACGTTTCAGTATCCCTGAAACATATTATCCTGTTTCACGCCTCGTATCTTTACATATGGTATTTCCACCCCTCCCTCCTTATTCATGTGTCATAATCCTCTTCATTTAAACTCAGCTCAGACACTGCTTTTGTGAAGTCATTGTGAATCCTGTTCTCCTCCCCTGGGAGAGTTAGTCATTCCCTGTTTTGTTCTCTACTCCCAGGATATATTTCTGTACTTGTCTCATAATTCTGTTTTATAATGATTTATTTACAAATATATCTCATCACTATCCTATAAGGTATATGAGGCCACATCTTTATATTCCCAGTGCCTAGCGCAAAGCCTGGCATAATGGCAGTATCCCCATAAACGTTTGATAAATCGAAAAATCTAAAATAGGAATATTTTAAATTTGGTTTGGGGCATCAGGTATCATGTACCTATTATTTCTATGATCAGTCTCTGAATAATAGCCAGTATATCTGGCATATTTGTTAACATTTAAATTACAAATGATAGCGTATCAAGAATAATGTGATTACTAAAACCAGTAACGTGATTTGGGCCTTTAAAGAAGTTAATTTCAAGCTTGACTTTGCTGTAGGCCCAAAGTTTATAACTTGTTCCTAAATAGAAGTTAAATGATACCAAAATAGATGTATAAATAAGAACAGAAAGTATGAACATAATCAGCCCTGTTCTCTGACAGGTGGGTTGGAGGCTGAGGATGCATCAAACAGTAAGGAAAGTCCTCTGTGGGCTAACGTGGGAGGGATAATTTGGCTTCCTCTCTCCACAGGCAGATGGAGGCCTTTTCCCCCTGCATAGTTTCTGAGAATGCAATGAGGAAAGATGATTGGGATGCTCATGTGGAACAAGCATACTATTTGGCTTACATTAAAAAATAGAATGAAATGAGTATCCCTAGGGAGAACTAACTTACCCAAGACACTTCAACATTTCTAGACTCATTTCTCTGAAACAGTCTAGAAATAGAAATATATACACATATTAGACTACATCTAGAAATGTATTTGTATATGTATTTCTAGACACACACATACATACACATACATTACATAATATATGCATACACATACATATACACACACACACACACAAACTCTCTAATGAAAACTGTGCCAATTTCAAAAGTGAAGCTAAATTATATTTCAGTTATGCTCCCTTGCATCACAAAATGAGGCTCTCCAGCTTAATATTGGCATTCCCAAGCCAGGTCAAGAAAGTAGGAACTGATAAGCTGTCTGGTATAATAGTTCTCTAGCTAAATCTCTAGAAAGGTGCTGCATCTGACATTTCTTCAAATTAGAGGAAATTTCATAAGACTTGGTAGGGAAAAATATGTCAGATGACAGATATGTATATCTTCTTTCACTTTTGCCCAAAACGTCATTAAAATGATAGAAATATATTTGTAAAGGCATAAAGACATAAAGACAAGCAGAACAAGAAAGGAAACTACAGTAACAAAATTCTGGATGCTATAAAGTAGTTACATGACAAATGACTAAGCAGACTTGAGAACTGGATCCAAAGCTAGCCATAGAAAAAACTAAAAATCAACCTGGTAAGACTACAGAGGACTCATGAATTCCATACCAGATATGTCTGAAAGAATAGGTGAATAAAAAGGCAAAAATAGCAACTATGTGAAAGAATATTTTAAAGCAGTTAGATTCCCATATGCCTTTCTCACTCTATAGCCTGGTGACTATCCGTCCCTCAATCTTGCAAAACACTGAAGATTTCTTCTCTTAGAAGAGTAAAACAGTTCTCTAAACTAATCACAGTTTAGGGTATGGTAAGATAATGAAAATAGGTGATTGAGAAAACAGGTATACTGGATGTTGACATTCCTGTGTGCCCTCTTTCCTTAAACAGCCCTAAGAACTTCCCATTAGGAGCTTAAAAGAGGGATTTCCTAGGATGTTCCGGTCAAAAGGAAAGATCTAAAGATGCTGTTGTCAAGACTTCTCCAACTAAACGGACCAATGGAATCAACCTAAAGCAAAGCTTATAGTGACAATGGCATCTAGAAGACAATATGGTCATTGTTTTAATTTCTCTAGGGAATTTATTCTCAACACTAGAATTTCACATCCAGTCTATGAAGCAAGAGTGAGGACAGAATAAAGACATTTGCATGAAATTACTGGGAGATGTGCTGCATAAAACAAGAAAAGGCATGGCATACAGAAATCAAGATATCCAACAAAGGAAAGAGGCAATAAAAATCCCCAAATGATGGAGAAGAATTGCAAGGTTGATACCTATCAGAAGGAGTAGAAGGTGACCAGTCCGGATTTAAATGAATGGAAAGGCTCAGGTGAGATTCTTCAGAGACATGAAGCATATAGAATACCTGATACACATAAACATGTTAAGAAAAGATGAATCTGGAATTGTGTTGACTATATATACATAGAAAATCAATCACAATTAGGAAAGACAATAATTAATCCTAGGGGAAATAAAACATTGTAATGGAAAGGAAGAGGAATCAGGGTTTAGCCTATGGATCAGTAACATTATAAATAATGTCTGTCGACAAACATAACAAGTAAATAGAGAAGACTAATCTAACCCAAATTTTGCAATTAATGTGTTAAAGAGATAGTCATGGAAAACATGTGTGTGCTTGTGTGGGGTACTGTTATAGTAAGCGGTAGGAAAGAGAGGAATGCCATATTCCATAGTGGGATGTCAATAGATAATGTCTAAAACTGAAACATTAAAAAGGAGCAAAACAAATAGATTAGAGACATAAAGATAAATACCCAGATAACTAGATAAAAGAGATGAAGGTGTTGGGAGGAAGAGAAGAAGATGGTTGGGGTACTGCTTTTTAAAATAATAATAAATAATATATAAATATTTGACAATTCAAGTAAAATCCTCTAAAACTTATATAATCTTGACTTTATGATATTATATAATTTACCTAAATTGAATGCATCAATTCTCACCCATAATTACTTTTTGTAAGCTCAAACATTAAGAATTTGGCAATGTCTTATAACTCGCTTCTGTGTTAGGGACCTATGGCAGAAAAACTCTGAAATTACCCCCAATTATCCCTGTTTCTCATGCCTTTGTGTAATCCCCTCCCCTTGAGTGGAAGCAGAACCTCTGGTTTGTTTCTAGCTAATAGAATATGACAAAGACAATGGCATGTTAATTCCATAGTTATGTCACATAAGATTGTGACTTCCATTTTGCAAACATACCCTCTGTTGATTCTCTCCCTTTCTGGCTTTGATGAAGTAAGCTACCATATGGAAAGGCCATGTGGTAAGGAACTAAGGGAGGCTTACAAACTGAGGCTCTCGGTCAAGGAATTGAAAGCATTCAGCAAGGAACTGGGGTCCTCCATTGACAAACCACAAGGAACTGAATTCTGCCAACAGCCATGTGAGCTTGGAACCAGATCCTTCCCCAGTCGAGCCACAGACGAGGTCCCATTCCTGGGTGACACCTTGATTCTAGTCTTGTGAGAGAACATGAAACACAGGACCCAAGCCATGCTTGAATACCTGACACACGAAACTGTGAGATAATAAATATTTTGCATAAGGCACTAAATTTGTGGTAAAATGGCCACACAGCAATAGATGAATAAAGGATCTAACCAAAAGAGACCATGATTTGAGCACCTCTCCAACTCAGGTGTTACAAAACAAAGATTGTTGAGTTCTGCTTGTCAGAGGTATGAATTCTGACTGATTGCCCAAGCCTCCAGTTTGTTTGCATCATCCAGCTACTTAAGCTGACACTGCTACACCTAAGGTTCAGCACGGCAACCTCAGATGACTTCATTCTGGGCTACGTCATCCAGAAGTCATAAAATTATCTCCCAAATATTAAAGAATTTAAACAAATTACTATCTTTAGCAGTGCCAATCAAATGTCACCCAAGAGGTAAAGTAATATTCACTTCAGTATTTTAGAGGGAAAAGTCATAAGAGGTAACACATAATAGAAATCTTCTATTTAATAAAATGTTAAGAGTAGATGGGAAAAATCAAGTTTTTCACCCTCTAAAAAGCATACATTCTAATTACAACACATTAAATATTTAACAAATCCTGAGTTCTAGGTAAATGGAAAGGAAATTTCCTTTGCTTTTAATTTAGAATAAAAGGTGATATGTGGGTGGTGAAATGGTGCAGCTTACAGTGCCTACATTATTGTACAGAAAGAAAGGGCAGCAGGGAGCTAGAATTATAGAAGCAGGAAAAAAATGGTATGACAACCAGGTAGGCAGCAATAGCCATTTGACTCTCTACCTACCAGCTCTCATAGGCTTCGCTGTCTTAGAGTTATTATAACTATATTGCTAAAGGAAAAAAAAAGTGTGGTTATTTGTTACTTAGCTGTCCTTATCACACTGACTCAGAAATCAGGTGTATGTGTGGGAGAATTTTCAAAAGAAAATCCACATACAGCTGTGAATCACTCACCTGAAGAACAATGAGCCAAATGGGCAATCACTGAGACAAACTGTCACTTATCAAAACTCTATAAGCAATGCGGAGGTTAACCTGGGGGTCTGAATCTGTCAGTGCCAAGTTTCTTCCAGCTGTCACAATCAGACAAGCTGCCTCCATCATAAAATAATGCAAGCCAAATTCAACTGAGTGGGACTCAAAGAAACATCTGAAATTCAACAACAGCAGCCTTGCCATCTAGACTATTTTGTGACAAAGTTGATGACAAGGGGTTGGAAATGACAGAATACATCAGTATGGAAGTCTCTCTTTAATGACCCGATGTCATGAATGAAGCATGAAGGACAAGTGACTAAACACATATCATTCTTATTTAATACCATATTGAGGACTAAGGCTCACATTATCCTCTACAGGTACTGCTTGGATCCTGTATTAGTTTCTTTTGCTGCTGTAACAAATTACCACAAATTTAGTGGCTTAAAACAATACAAATGCATTCTCTTTCAGCTCTGGAGGCCAGAAATAAAAAGTCAGTTTCACTGGGCTAAAGTCAAGGTGCCACAAGGGCTGCCTCCTCTAGAGGATCTGGGAATAATCTGTTTCTTGACTCTTCCAGCTACTAGTGGCTATGCTATGGGTATTCCTCATTGGCTCTGGCTCATGGCCCCTTCCTCCCATCTTCAAAGCCAACAGTTTAGTATCTTCTATCATTGCATTTCCTTATTCTTTCTGTAGTCTATTCCCCCTCTACCTCCCTCTTATAAGGACAGTTGTGATTACATTTAGGGTCCACCCAGATAACCCAGAATTATTTCCATATCTCAAAATCCTAATTCACATCACATCTGCAAAGGCTCTTTTGCTATAAAAGGTAACATTCACAGTTTCCAGGAATTCCAACCTGGATATTTTTGGGAGCTATTATTCAGCATACCACAGGTCCTGTCTCATAAATGTTTTAATTGGAAGCTGTTCGTCTGTGGTAAAGAGTTTATTACTCATATACAAAGCCATCTAAAATACAATAAATGTAAATTAATTAGAGATTGAAAATCAATAGTATTTTGACTCCTAAACACTTTATTAATTGTTCTGGGAAATTTTTGAGCCATTTCTCTTGGTAAACATAATGTAAAAAAACTAAAGAGCAGATTTTAGTGGGTCAATATTATCTTGGCAATCTCATGAATACTGCTGTGTGTGTGTGCACGCACACATGCACACATAAGCACACGCAAGCTTGTGAGGGTCAGGAGATTGGATAAAGGTATACTAAAAGTGAACACTTAAAGAATTCTAATGATACCTGCATGCTGTACTCATGGAATGATTCACACTATAACAACTATGGGTGCTGGAATGTACTTCAGTAAGCATCAGGCAATTTTAATTCAAAAGACTCTGAGCAGATTTTGAAGCAGTTGCTCTGACACCTGAGGGTGTAACCATGTTTGAAGGTGTGTGGGATGTTGAGAGGAGAAGGAACTAACTTTTATTAAATGGCTACTATGTTTCAGGTACAGAGTTACAGGTTTTACAAATTTTAATGTTAATTAAGGCTCACGACAACAGATGCTGCAGGTATTAAAAGAAGATAATAATACCCAGAGAGGATTAGGTAACTTTTCCAAGTTTGCCAGCTAGCAAGTGGTATAGCTAGACCCACATTTTTTGAAATCTAAATATCCATAATGGGGTTTTAGCATGTTAGAGCAGATATAGGAGAGGTCAAGAGTCAAGAAAACACAATGGTTCTTTCAGAAGAGCTCTGGGGAAAAAAGGAATGAGACAAGGGGAACAACATTATCACACACTGCACCAGCTGACTATAGTGGTAGGTCATAATGACTGCAAAACAGTGTGCTGGGCCCCATTTAGTGATGACATCACAATACATAACTCTAAGCAAATAATGTTTCTACTTCTGATTCCTATTTCACTGCTTTGACCCTCCATCACTTACCTGGGCACAGAGTATTCATGGTATCACTTCTCCCCATAAAATGGGTTTGACAACCAAGCCCAATTTCTTACTTCATCCTCAGATGTAGCCTTATACCTTTAAATGAACAGAGATTAATTGCATAGATTTTCCATAATGGGGCTCATTCATTTTCCGTATTATAGTATCTACTTTCTAAAGCTGATTTTACTGAGATCTAATTTTCCAGCTCATGCCACTATAGAAATGACTGTTAAAAACTTGATCCAACAGGAATCTGAGTCATTGCTACAATGGGAAAACATCTGTACCATAAAGAAGACAAGATTGTCATTTCATTAGAATTCCTCTTGACTTTAAACCATTAATCTTTGTCAATAATGGGATATTCATTTGCAGCTCACTAACTGGAATAAAACTGAAAGTGATACCATCAAGATATACATAATTCTTTGATAAAACCACAGCTTTAGGGTCCATGCCTCCAAGGATAATTAAAGAAATAGCTGTTGGTGTTCTGAGTCTGCTTGAGTAACCTATAGTTTATGGGATAAAAGAGATAGATTAAGACAGGGCGAATCCAGGCCAAGACTTCACTGAGATCTCAAGTCTATGTATTGTGAACATATGTTTTGTGGGGGAAATGAATTAGGTAAGACATGTCATGAAACGAAGGACTGAGAGTCAATGTGGTTTTTTCTTTATAATACCTTCAGTAGCAAAAATTCCTTTCCTTATTTATAGGCATCCTTTCATACTTTGCCTTTATCATAGAGAAGAATATATCTCTGGTCCTTTTTAGTCAATATCTATGAACAGCTGAAAATACAATGAAAGTAAGAATTGCTTCCCAAAGTTCCTGTTTGCATTTCCGTTTATTTACATATGTTCCTTTAGACCTATATAGACCCAAAACAACCTGAGATAAATGCCACTCATAACTGTATCCCTCAGGGGAGCATATAATTAACAAAAGCCCATATATTTGAGCTTAACTGATTAATCATTTTCCCTCAACTCTTTCCATTATAATTCAGTTTGCTTTGTGTTAATTCCTTTTTTTAAATAATCTCTCAACTCCTCCTATCACCCAGGCTGAAAAACCCAGGAATCACCAAAGACCCTCTCCCTCAACTCCTGCAGCCAAAGCCCAGTCCAACAGAATCTATCCAACTTCCTTATTTCACTTTTCCAGCTCTGATTGGATTTGTATCTATAATAAATCAAAAAGAGGTCAACTAAGAACAAAACTAACATCATTAGAATAAAATCACCTTATAAACTGGAATGCAAGGTGCTAATGTTATTACTTTTCATTCTGATAAAATCACCTTATAAACTGGAATGCACCATGCTAATGTTATTACTTTTATCTTTTTTTTAGTTTGTACTGCACATCACAGTTTTAATTTTTTTAACTTTTAAGTTCATGGTTCATATGCAAGTTTGTTATATAGGTAAATTTGTGTGATGTGGGTTTATTGTACAGATTATTTTGTCACCCAGGTACTAAGTCTAGTACTCATTAGTTATTTTTCCTGATCCTCTCCACCCTTCCAGCCTCCACCCTCTGATAGGTCCCAGTGTATGTTGTTTCCCTCTATGACTTAAACAAAATGACAAAAAAGAGCAAACAACCACATTTAAAAGTGGGCAAAGAACGTGAACACTTTCCTAAAGAAGATATACCTGTGGCCAACAAGCATATGAAAAAAAGCTCAATATCAATGATCATTAGAGAAATGCAAATCAAAACCACAATGAGATACCATCTCGCACCAATCAGAATGGCTATTATTAAAAAGTCAAAAAAATAGATGCTGTCAAGGTTGCAGAGAAAAGGGAACATTTATACACAGTTGGTGGGAATGTAAAATTAGTTCAACCATTGTGGAAGACAGTGTGGAAATTCCTCAAAGATCTAAAGACAGAAATACAATTCAACCCAGTAATCCCATTACTGCATATATACTGAGAGGAATATAAATCATTCTGTCATAAAGACATGCACACATGTGTTCATTACAGCACTATTCACAAAAGCAAAGACATGGAATCAAACTAAATGCCCATCAATGATAGACTGGATAAAGAAAATATGCTACCTATACACCATGGAATACTATCCAGTCATAAAAAATAATGAGATCATGTCCTTTGCAGGGACATGGCTGGAGCTGGAGGCCATTATCCTTAGCAAACTAATGCAAGAACAGAAAACCAAACATTGCCTGTTCGCACTTACAAGTGGGAGCTGAATGATGAGAATGCATGGACACACAGAGGGGAACAACATATTATTTTTATCTTTACTTGAAAAGTATGTCTTGATTTCCTCCATATAAAATTCAAGACCTTGGGGATGCAGACAAAATAGGTTGTTTCATGTGGGGTTTATGATAGGCTGAATAATAGCCCTTTCAGGATGGCTACATCCTAATAACCAGAACCTGTGAATATTTTACCATAAACACACATCACAAATGGACCTATGAAGCTACAATTAAGGTTCCTGAGAGTGAGAGATTATTATGGATTATCTGGATAGACCCAATGTAATCACAAGAGTCCTTAAAGAAGGAAAAAAGGGTCAGAGTCAGACAAGGTAATGAGAAGAGGGCAAGGGCCCCAATAGTCTCAACCCCTTATAACATACATTCAAATACAAAATACCATCTAAATCTCATCAGCTTAAAAGTCCCAAACCTTATCATCTAAAGGATCTATGGGTGAGGCTCTGGATATAATCTATCCTGGAGAAAAATACCTCTCCATCTGTGGATCTGTGAAGCTAGAAAATAAGTTATCAGATCAAAAAGTACAATGGTGGCACAGGCATAAGATAATCAATATAGACATTCTCATTGGGAGAAAATAGAAGGGGAAAAAGGGGTCACTATTCCCATGACATTTTGCAATCCAACTGGGAAAATTCTATCATGTTTCAAAACCCAGGAATAATCCTCTGTGGCTGGAGGGTCCATCCTCTGGGCCCGTGGCTCTGCCATGACCTCAGAGTTATCCTTCTTTTCATGAAGGGTAATGTGTCTAAACCTGAGTTATTTTATTAGCCTGTTTTCTAACTGGAGAATTTTGGAAGTCAAACAAACTTCTATCATTTTGTTCTTTCTCTGTCTCTTTCAGTCCAAGCTGGCAGTGTTTCTGCTGATACAACATTCTCAAAAACTTTGTGGGTCTCCCACACATGTTACAGGGAGTAAATCCATCAAACAAGAGGCTCTTCCACAAATATATGCAGGATAATCCCATTTTTATTCCTGGCTCCTATTGAGATCTGTGAGGGGATCCATGAGTCATATACTTAATCTTTTCAAACACTTTTCTGTGTGATTAAAATACTGACCTTATCTAAAATCGTTCCAAGGCACAAGCAAAAGACTGCTCAGCCAAACCTTTGGCATTCTCTCCAGAGCATACTTTCTTGTAATCAAATCTTCTAACTTTAGCAGTTTTTGAAAGCTGAATAGACTGAGAATTTCCTAAATTATCAAGTCCTAGTTCCTTTTTGTTTAACAGTTCTTCCCTTAATCTATGTCTTTCCTCTCACATTTTACTATAAGAAACAAGAAACCAAGCCACATTTTCAACAGTTTGCTTGGATTTCCAAGCAAATTTCCTCGGCTAAATCTCCACGCTCATGGCTTAGAAATTCTATTTCCCACATGACTGCAGAACAAAATTCTGCTGAGTCTTCTGCCACCAAATAACAAAGAACCCTTAATTCCATCTGGGCCATTATGAGGAGTTCCTTTAGTATTCCTATTTCTATAGTTTATTTATAATAGCTTTAATATTCTCTAAGACAATTTAATTTTTCTCTATTATGTTCCTCACTTCCTTCTGAGCCCTTACTAGCAGAGTCCTTAGTATCTATATTTCCACTAGCAATCTGTTCACAGAAATCTAGGCTTTTCTATCATGCTCCTCAACATTCTTCCAGCCTCTTCCCACTGGAAATCACAACCACATTTTTAGGTATTTGTTAGCGCATAACCTCACTTCCAAATCTATGTTAGCTTCCTACTTCTGCTCCAATAAATTCTCACTAACTTAGTGGCTTGAAACAATGCACATTTATCTTCTTTTTCTGGAGGTTAGAAATCTAAAATAGATTTTGAAATGTACTGACATTTATGAGTCTTACATGACTAAAATTAAAGTGTCATAATCTTCATTCCTTATGGATACTTTAGGGAAGGATCCATTCCTTGCCTTTCCCAGCTTCAAAAGGCCGCCCGCATTCCATGGCTCATGGCTACATCACTTGGATCTCCGCTTCTGTCATCACATCTCTTTCTCTCCCTCTGCTTCTGTCATGGCATTGCTTTTTATGACACTACCCCTCATGCCTTCTTCTCATAAGAACCCTTGTGATTTGTCTGGACCCACAGAAGTAATCCAGGATAATCTCAAGAACATTAACTTAATCACCTGTGAAGCCCTTTTTGCTATGTAGTCATACCTCATTTTATTGTGCTTTGCTTTATTGCTCTTTGCACATATTGCCTTTTTACAGATTGAAGTTTTGTCACAACCCTGCATGGAGCAAGCCTATCAGCACCATTTTTCCAACAGCATGTGCTCACCTCATGGCTTGGTGTCACATTTTGATAATTCTCACAATATTTCAAGTTTTTTATTATTATTATATTTTTTGTGGTGATTTGTGATCAGTGACCTTTGATGTTACTACTGTAATCACTTGAGGCACCATGATCCACTATCACATAGAATGGTGAATTTAATCAATAAATGTTGTATGTGTTCTGACTGCTCCACCAACCAGCCTTTGCCCTGTCTTGTTCTTTCTCCTTGGGCCTCCTAGTTCCTGAGACACAATAATATTGAAATTAGACTGATAAATAACCCTATAATGGCTTCTACTGTTCCAGTGAAAAGAAGAGTCATACATCTCATTTTAAATCAAAAACTACAGGCCCAGTGCAGTGGTTCTACCTGTAATCCCAGCACTTTGGGAAGCCAAGGCAGACAGATCACTTGAGCTCAGGAGTTCGAGACCAGCCTGGCCAACATAGTGAAATCCCATCTCTATTAAAAATACAAAAAAAAAAAAAAATTAGCTGGGCATGGTGGCAGGTTCCTGTAATCCCAGCTACTCGGGAGGCTAAGGCAGGAGAATAGCTTGAACCTGGGAGGCGGGGGTTGCAATAAGCAGAGATTGCACCACTGAACTTCAGACTAGGCAACAGAGCAAGAGTCCATCTAAAAATAAAAAATAATAAATAAATAAATAAAAAGCTACAAATGATTAAGCTTGGTGTCAGGCCTCGAGCCCAAGCTAAGCCATCATATCCCCTGTAACCTGCACGTACACATCCAGATGGCCAGTTCCTGCCTTAACTGATGACATTCCACCATAAAAGAAGTGAAAATGGCCTGTTCCTGCCTTAACTGATGACATTGTCTTGTGAAATTCCTTCTCCTGGCTCATCCTGACTCAAAAGCTCCCCTACTGAGCACCTTGTGACCCCCAACTCCTGCCCACCAGAGAACAATTCCCCTTTGACTGTAATTTTCCTTTACCTACCCAAATCTTATAAAACGGCCCCACCCCTATCTCCCTTCGCTGACTCTTTTCGGACTCAGCCCGCCTGCACCCAGGTGATTAAAAGCTTTATTGCTCACACAAAGCCAGTTTGGTGGTCTCTTCACACGGATGCGCATGAAATTTGGTGCCGTGACTCGGATCAGGGGACCCTTGGAGATCCCTTGGGAGATCAATCCCCTGTCCTCCTGCTCTTTGCTCCGTGAAAAAGATCCACCTATGACCTCGGGTCCTCAGACCCATCAGCCCAAGGAACATCTCACCAATTTTAAATCGGGTAAGCAGCCTCTTCTTACTCTCTTCTCCAACCTCTCTCACTATCCCTCAACCACTTTCTCTTTTCAATCTTGGCACCACCCTTCAATCTCTCCCTTCTCTTAATTTCAATTGCTTTCATTTTCTGGTAGAAACAAAGAAGACACATTTTATCCGTGGACCCAAAACTCAGGCATCAGTCACAGACTTGGGAAGCCAGCCTTCCCTTCATGTTTAATCATTGCAGGGACGCCTCTCCATTTACCCACGTTTCAGAGGTGTCTGACCACGCAGGGATGCCTGCCTCGGTCCTTCACCCTTAGCAGCAAGTCCCGCTTTTCTGGGGGAGGGGCAAAAACCACAACCCCTTCTCTCCCTGTCTCTACCCCTTCTCTGCTTTTCTGGGGTGCAAGAACCCCCCGATCCCTTATTTCCGTGCCCCGACCTCTTATCTCTGTGCCCCGATCCCTTATTTCCATGCCCTGACCTCTTATCTCTGCACCCCAATTCCTTATTTCCATGCCCTGACCTCTTATCTCTGCGCCCCGATCCCTTATTTCCACACCCCGACCTCTTATCTCTGCACCCCAACCCCTTATTTTGGCGCCCCGACACCTTTCCCACTTTTCTGGAGGGTAAGAACCTCCGAACCTCTTCCCTCCATGTCCCTACTCTCTCTTTTCTCTGGGCTTGCCTCCTTCACTATGGGCAACCTTCCACCCTCCATTACTCCTTCTTCTCCCTTAGCCTGTGTTCTCAAGAACTTAAAACCTCTTCAACTCACACCTGACCTAAAACCTAAATGCCTTATTTTCTTCTGCAATGCCGCTTGACCCCAATACAAACTCAACAGTGATTCCAAATAGCCAGAAAATGGCACTTTCAATTTTTCCATCCTACGAGATCTAAATAATTCTTGTCGTAAAATGGGCAAACGGTCTGAGGTGCCTGACATCCAGGCATTCTTTCACACATCAGTCCCTTCCTAGTCTCTGTTCCCAATGCAAATCGTCCCAAATCTTCCTTCTTTCCCTCCCGCCTGTCCCCTCAGTCCCAACCCCAAGCGTCGCTGAGTCTTTCTAATCTTCCTTTTCTACAGACCCATCTGACCTCTCCCCTCCTCGCCAGGCCGAGCTAGGTCCCAATTCTTCCTCAGCCTCTGCTTCTCCACCCTATAATCCTTTTATCACCTCCCTTCCTCACACCTGGTCCAGCTTACAGTTTCATTCCGTGACTAGCCCTCACCCACCTGCCCAGCAATTTACTCTTAAAAAGGTGGCTGGAGCTAAAGGCATAGTCAAAGTTAATGCTCCTTTTTCTTTATCCCAAATCAGATAGCATTTAGGCTCTTTTTCATCAAATATAAAAACTCAGCCCAGTTCATGGCTCGTTTGGCAGCAACCCTGAGATGCTTTACAGCCCTGGACCCTAAAAGGTCAAAAGGCTGTCTTATTCTCAATATACATCTTATTACCCAATCTGCTCCCAACATTAAATAAAACTCCAAAAATTAAATTCCGGCCCTCAAACCCCACAACAGGACTTAATTAACCTCTCCTTCAAGGTGTACAATAATAGGGTAGAGGCAGCCAAGTAGCAACATATTTCTGAGTTACAATTCCTTGCCTCCACTGTGAGACAAACCCCAGCCACATCTCCAGCATACAAGAACTTCCAAACGCCTAAACCGCAGTGGCCAGGTGTTCCTCCAGGCCCGCCTCCCCCAGGAGCTTGCTACAAGTGCCAGAAATCTGGCCACCAGGCCAAGGAATGCCCACAGCCCGGGATTCCTCCTAAGCCGCGTCCCATCTGTGTGGGACCCCACTGAAAATTGGACTGTTCAACTCACCTGGCAGCCACTCCCAGAGCCCCTGGAACTCTGGCCCAAGGCTCTCTGACTGACTCCTTCCCAGATCTTCTCGGCTTAGTGGCTGAAGACTGACACTGCCCGATCGCCTTGGAAGCCCCCTAGACCATCACGGACGCCGAGCTTTAAGTAACTCTCACAGTGGAAGGTAAGTCCGTCCCCTTCTTAATCAATACGGAGGCTACCCACTCCACATTACCTTCTTTTCAAGGCCTGTTTCCCTTGCCTCCAAACTGTTGTGGGTAGTGACGGCCAGGCTTCTAAACCTCTTAAAACTCCCCAACTCTGGTGCCAACTTAGACAATACTCTTTTTTTTTTTTTTTTTTTTTTGAGACGGAGTCTCGCTCTGTCGCCCAGGCTGGAGTGCAGTGGCGCGATCTCGGCTCACTGCAAGCTCCGCCTCCCGGGTTCACGCCATTCTCCTGCCTCAGCCTCCCGAGTAGCTGGGACTACAGGCGCCCGCTACCACGCCCGGCTAATTTTTTGTATTTTTAGTAGAGACGGGGTTTCACCATGTTAGCCAGGATGGTCTCGATCTGACCTCGTGATCCGCCCGCCTCTGCTTCCCAAAGTGCTGGGATTACAGGCGTGAGCCACCGCGCCCAGCCGACAATACTCTTTTAAGCACTCCTTTTTAGTTATCCCCACCTGCCCAGTTCCCTTATTAGGCCGAGACATTTAACTAAATTATCTGCTTCCCTGACTATTCCTGGACTACAGCTGTATCTCATTGCCACCCTTCTTCCCAATCCAAAGCCTCCTTTGCGTCCTCCTCTTGTATCCCCCCACCTTAACCCACAAGTATAAGATACCTCTACTCCCTCCTTGGCGACTGATCATGCACCCCTCACCATCTCACTAAAACCTAATCACTCTTACCCCGCTCAATGCCGATATCCCATCCCACAGCATGCTTTAAAAGGATTAAAGCCTGTTATCACTGGCCTGTTACAGCATGGGCTTTTAAAGCCTATAAACTCTCCTTACAATTCCCCTATTTTACCTGTCCTAGAACCAGACAAGCCTTACAAGTTAGTTCAGGATCTGCGCCTTATCAACCAAATTGTTTTGCCTATCCACCCCATGGTGCCAAACCCATATACTCTCCTATCTTCAATACCTCCCTCAACAACCCATTATTCTGTTCTGGATCTCAAACATGCTTTCTTTACTATGCCTTTGCACCCTTCATCCCAGCCTTTCTTCGCTTTCACTTAGACTGACCCTGACACCCATCAGGCTCAGCAAATTACCTGGGCTGTACTGCCACAAGGCTTCACAGACAGCCCCCATTACTTCAGTCAAGACCAAGTTTCATCCTCATCTGTTACCAATCTTGGCATAATTCTTATAAAAACACACACGTGCTCTCCCTGCTGATTGTGTCCGACTAATCTCCCAAACCTCAATCCCTTACAAAACAACAACTCCTTTCCTTCCTAGGCATGGTTAGTGCAGTCAGAATTCTTACAGAAGAGCCAGGACTGCACCCTGTAGCCTTTCTGTCCAAACAACTTGACCTTACTGTTTTAGCCTAGCCCTCATGTCTGCGTGCAGCGGCTGCCGCTGCTTTAATACTTTTAGAGGCCCTTAAAATCACAAACTATGCTCAACTCACTCTCTACAGTTCTCATAACTTCTAAAATCTATTTTCTTCCTCACACCTGACACATATACTTTCTGTTTCCCGGCTCCTTCAGCTGTACTCACTCTTTGTTGAGTCTCCCACAATTACCATTGTTCCTGGCCCAGACTTCAATCCAGCCTCCCACATTATTCCTGATACCACACCTGACCCCCATGACTGTATCTCTCTGATCCACCTGACATTCACTCCATTTTCCCATATTCTTTCATGTTCCTCACCCTGAACACACTTGGTTTATTGACGGCAGTTCCACCAGGCCTAATCGCCACTCACCAGCAAAGGCAGGCTATGCTATAGTATCTTCCACATCTATTATTGAGGCTACTGCTCTGCCCCCCTCCACTACCTCTCAGCAAGCCGAACTCATTGCCTTAAGCCCTCACTCTTGCAAAAGCACTAAAAGTCAATATTTATACTGACTCTAAATATGCCTTCCATATTCTGCACCACCATGCGAGAGGTTTCCTCACTACACAAGGGTCCTCTATCATTAATGCCTCTTTAATAAAAACGCTTCTCAAAGCTGCTTTACTTCCAAAGGAAGCTAGAGTCATTCACTGCAAAGGCCATCAAAGGGCATCAGATCCCATCGCTCAGGACAATGCTCATACTGATAAGATAGCTAAAAAAGCAGCTAGCATTCCAACTTATACCCCTCACTTTCAGTTTTTCTCCTTCTCATCTGGCCACTCCCACCTACTCCCCCGCTGAAACTTCCACTTATCAATCTCTTCCCACACAAGGCAAATGGTTCTTAGACCAAGGAACATATCTCCTTCCAGCCTCACAGGCCCATTCTATTCTGTCGTCATTTCATAACCTCTTCCATGTAGGTTACAAGCCACTAGCCCATCTCTTAGAACCTCTCATTTCCTTTCCATCATAGAAATCTATCCTCAAGGAAAGCACTTCTCAGTGTTCTATCTGCTATTCTACTACCCTTCAGGGATTGTTCAGGCCTCCTCCCTTTCCCATACATCAAGCTCGGGGATTTGCCCCTGCCCAGGACTGGCAAATTGACTTTACTCACATGCCCCGAGTCAGAAAACTAAAATATCTCTTAGTCTGTGTAGACACTTTCACTGGATGGGTAGAGGCCTTTCCTACGGGGTCTAAGAAGGCCACCGCAGTCATTTCTTTCCTTCTGTCAGACATAATTCCTCAGTTTAGCCTTCCCACCTCTATACAGTCCAATAGCAGACCAGCCTTTATTAGTCAAATCAGCCAAGCAGTTTTTCAGGCTCTTGGTATTCAGTTAAACCTTTATTTCCCTTACAGTCCTCAGTCTTCAGGAAAGGTAGAACGGACTAATGGTCTTTTAAAAACACACCTCACCAATCTCAGCCACCAACTTAAAAAGGACTGGACAATACTTTTACCTCTTTCTTTTCTCAGAATTCAGGCCTATCCTCGGAATGCTGCAAGGTACAGCCCATTGGAGCTCCTGTATGGACGCTCCTTTTTATTAGGCCCCAGTCTCATTCCAGACACCAGACCAACTTGGACTGTGCCCCAAAAAACTTGTCACCCCTACTATCTTCTGTCTAGTCATACTCCTATTCACCGTTCTCAACTACTCATACATGCCCTGCTCTTGTTTACACTGCCGGTTTACACTGTTTCTCCAAGTCATCACAGCCAATATCTCCTGGTGCTATCCCAAACTGCCACTCTTAACTCTTAAAGTAAATAAATAATCTTTGCTGGCAGGGCTATGCTGAACCTCCTTAGGCACTCTCTAATTAGATGTCCTGGGTCCTCCCAATTCTTAGACCTTTAATACCTGCTTTTCTCTTTCTCTTATTCCGTTCAGTTTTTCAATTCATACAAAACTATATCCAGGCCATCACCAATAATTCTAAATGACAAATGTTTCTTCTAACAACCCCACAATATCACCCCTTACCACAAAATCTTCCTTCAGCTTAATATCTCCCACTCTAGGTTCCCACGCCGCCCCTAATCCCACTCGAAGCAGCCCTGAGAAACATCGCCCGTTATCTCTCCATACCACCCCCCAAAATTTTCGTCGTCCCAACACTTTATCACTATTTCATTTTATTTTTCTTAATATAAGAAGACAGGAACGTCAGGCCTCTGAGCCCAAGCTAAGCCATCATATCCCCTGTGACCTGCACATACACATCCAGATGGCCGGTTCCTGCCTTAACTGATGACATTCTACCACAAAAGAAGTGAAAATGGCCTGTTCCTGCCTTAACTGATGACATTGTCTTGTGAAATTCCTTCTCCTGGCTCATCCTGCCTCAAAAGCTCCCCTACTGAGCACCTTGTGACCTCCCACTCCTGCCTGCCAGAGAACAACCCCCCTTTGACTGTAATTTTCCTTTACCTATCCAAATCTTATAAAACGGCCCCACCCCTATCTCCCTTCGCTGACTCTCTTTTCGGACTCAGCCTGCCTGCACCCAGGTGATTAAAAGCTTTATTGCTCACACAAAGCCTGTTTGGTGGTCTCTTCACACTGATGCGCATGAAACTTGGTGAAGTATGTATGTCAAAAG
The DNA here is from genome assembly GCF_000001405.40 of Homo sapiens. Classification (NCBI taxonomy): domain Eukaryota; kingdom Metazoa; phylum Chordata; class Mammalia; order Primates; family Hominidae; genus Homo; species Homo sapiens. Next base: position 99,721,765 of record NC_000012.12, read on the forward strand.
CTGAGATAGGCTAAAACCTAGGCCTCATGTGCCAAACAGTTAGTAAATGCATTATGTAAGAAATACATTTCAAGTTGTGAATGCAAAGGAAAAGTTCTTGAAGGAAATTAAAAGTGCGACTCCAGTGGACACATAAATGATAAGAAAGGGAAACAGCCTGAATGCTGATATGGCAAAAGTTTTAGTGCTCTGGAAAGATCAAACCAGCCACAACATTTACTTAAGCCAAATGCTAATCCAGAACAAGGCCCTAACTCTCTTCAATTCTATGAAGGCTGAGAGAGGCAAAGAAACTGCAGAAGAAAATTTTGAAGCTAGCAGGGGTTCATGAGGTTTAAGGAAAGAAGCCATTTCCATGACACAAAAGTGCAAGAAGCAGCAAGTGCTGATGGAGAAGCTGTAGCAAGTTATCCAGAAGATCCAGCTAAATTGATAAAGGTGACTACACTAAACAACAGATTCTCAATGTAGATGAAACAGCCTTCTATTGGAAGAAGATTCCATTTAGGACTCTCATAACCAGAGAGGAGAAGTCAACGTCTGGCTTCAAAGCTTCAAAGAACAGGCTCACTGTTTTGTTAGGTTGTAATGCAGCTGGTAACTTTAAGTTGAAGCCAATGCTCATTTGCCATTCTGAAAACACTAAAGCTTTTAAGAACGATGTTAAATGTACTCTGCCTGTGCTCTATAATAAAATAATAAAGCCTGGATGACAGTACATTTGTTTACAGCACAGTTTACTGACCATTTTAAGCCCACTGTTGAGACCTACTGCTTAAAAAAAGATTCCTTTCAAATTATTATTGCTCATCGACAATGCACCTAATTACCCAAGAGCTCTGACTGGAGGTGTACAAGGAGACTAATGTTTTCATGGTTGGTAACACAACATCCATTCTGCAGCCAATGGATCAAGCAGTAATTTTGACTTTCAAGTCTTATGTAAGAAATACAGGGTGGGACCAAGATGGCCAACTAGCCAACAAGAAGCAGCCACCGTCAGAGGCTCCCATCAAAAAGAACCATAATAGCATGTGAATCCTGCACTGGCAACTGAGGTATCCAGGTTCTCTCATCAGAACTGACTAGGCAGCTGGTGTGACCTACAGAGAGAAAGGAAGCGCAGTGGTGCAGGGGGCCCACCTGAGAGCCACACAGGGCAGGTGGGTCCCCACCCCCCCGCCAAGGGAGGTGATGAGTGAGTGTGCCATCCAGCCTGGGAAACCATGCTTTTTCCACAGACTGTGCAACCTCCTGATCAGAAGATCTCACTCATGAAATCACAACACCAGGGCCTAGGATCCCAACCACAGAGCCCTGCAGATTCTCAAAAGCCTCTCAGCTAGACTCTGCTTAAGCCTGCTGAGTTCCCGGTGGGGAGGGGCGACTAGCACCACAGTTGCGGCTGCCTGTTGTTTAAGCCATTTGAGCTCTTTGGGGGAGGGGCAGCAGCCAGCACTGGGACTGATAGCTGCCTAACACACTAAGCTCCCTGGGCAGGGGAAGGGTGGCAGCCATCTCTATAGCTCCAGGCTACACTTTTCCCCTGCTGGAGCCAGGAAGGCTTGGTTCCGAGAGGGGTCCCCCGCAGCACAACACACCGGCTGTGGCAGACTGTGGCCAGAGTGCCTCTTCAGGCCTGACACTGACCCATCCCTCCTCACTGGGAGGGGCCTCCCTGCAGGAACTCCAACTCCAGGCAGGGGCTCAGGCACAAAGCTCTGATCTCCCTGGCCGGAGCCACTAGGGGTAGGGGTGACCACAGTCTCTGAGGACCAGCAGACTTAGCCTTTCCTCCTGCTAGTTCTGAGAAATCTGGGCAGCCCAGATGAGTGGGTTTCCCCTCAGCAAAGCACTCCCCCTCCACCAAGGGATAGTCAAAGAGCTTCATTAAACGGGTCCTGCTCCCTGTACCACCCAACTAGGTGAGACCATCAAACAGGGGTTGTCAGACATCCTATACAGGAGTGATCATACTGGCATCAGATCGGTGCTCCTCGAGGTCAGAGTTCCCAGAGGAAGGAGGAAGCACCCATCTTTGCTGTTTTCCAGCCTCCTTGAGTGACTGGCTCCAGGCACAGGAGCGAGCCAGATGAATAGTGCCTGAAGTGAATGCCCAGCAAACCACAACAGCCCTACAGAAGAGGGGCCTGACCATTGAAAGAAAAACAAACAGAAAGCAACAACAACAGCATCAGCAAAAAGTGTCTCCCCAAAAAAACCCATCAAGGATAGGCAGCCTCAAATATCAAAACTAGACAAATTCATGAAGATGAGAAAGGATCAACAAAAAAAAAAACACTGAAAGCCCAAAAGGCCAGAGTGCCTCTTCTCCTCCAAATGATTGCAATGCCGCTCCAGCAAGGGTGCAGAACTGGGCAGAGGATGAGATGGACAAATTGACAGAAGTAGGCTTCAGAAGGTGGGTAATATCAAATTCTGCTAGCTAAAGGATCATGTTCTAACCCAATGCAAAGAAGCTAAGAACCTTGAAAAAAGGTTACAGGAGCTGCTAACTAGAATAACCAGTTTAGAGAGGAACATAAATAACCTGATGGAGCTGAAAAACACAGCGGAAGAACTTCGTGAAGCATACAGAAGTATCAATAGCCGAATCAACCAAGAGGAAGAAAGTATATCTGAGTTTGAAGACCACCTTGCTGAAATAAGGCATGCAGACAAGATTAGAGGAAAAAGAATGAAAAGGAATGAACAAAACCTCCAAGAAATATAGGATTATGTAAAAAGACCGAACCTACAATTGACTGGAGTACCTGAAACAGACAGAGAAAATTGAACCAAGCTGCAAAACACACTTCAGGATGTTATCTAGGAGAATGTTGCCAACCTAGCAAGATAGGCCAACATTAAAATTCAGGAAATACAGTGAACACCACTAAGATACTCCATGAGACAATCAACCCCAAGACACATAATCATTAGATTCTCCAAGGTCGAAAGGAAGGAAAAAAATGTTAAGGGCAGCCAGAGAGAAAGACCAGGTCACCCACAAAGGGAAGCCCATCAGACTAACAGCAGACCTCTCAGCAGAAACGGTACAAGCCAGAAGAGAGTGAGGGCCAATATTCAACAGTCTTAGAAAAATTATTTTCAACTCAGAATTTCATATCCAGCCAAACTAAGCTTCATAAGCAAAGAAGAAATAAAATCCTTTCCAGACAAGCAAATACTGAGGGATTTCATCACCACCATGCCTGCCTTACAAGAGCCCCTGAGGGAAGCACTAAATATGAAAAGGAACAACTGGTACCAGCCATTGCAAAGACACATCAAAATATAAAGACCAATGACACTATGAAGAAACTGCATCAACTAGTGTGCAAAATACCAAGGTAGTATCATGATGACAGGATCAAAATCACATATAACAATATTAACCTTAAATGTAAATGGGCTAAATGCCCCAGTTAAAAGACACAGACTGGCAAATTGGATAAAGAGTCAAGACCCATCAGTGTGCTGTATTTAGGAGACCCAACTCATGGTCAAAGACATACATAGGCTCAAAATGAAGAGATGGAGGCAAGTTTACCAAGCAAATGAAAAGCAAAAAGAAAGCAGGGGTTGCAATCCTAGTCTCTGACAAAACAGACTTTAAACCAACAAAGATAAAAAAAGACAAGGGCATTACATAATGGTAAAGGGATCAATTCAACAAGAAGAGCTAACTATCCTAAATATGTATGCACCCAATACAGGAGCACCCAAATTCATAAAACAAGTTCTTAGAGACCTACAAAGAGACTTAGACTCCCACACAATAATAAAAAGGGACTTCTAACACCCTACTGTCAATATTGGACACATCAATGAGACAGAAAATTAACAAGGATATTCAGGACTTAAACTCAGCTCTGGATCAAGTGGACCTAAAAGAGATCTACAGAACCCTCCACACCAAATCAACAGAATATACATTCTTCTCAGTGCATGGCATTTATTCTCAAATTGACCACAAAATTGGAAGTAAAACACTTCTCAGTAAATGCAAAATAACTGAAATCATAACAGCCTCTCAGACCACAGTGCAATCAAATTAGAACTCAGGATTAAGAAACTCACTCAAAACCACACAATTACATGGAAATTGAACAACCTGCTCCTGAAGGACTCCTGGGTAAATAATGAAATTAAGGCAGAAATCAAGTTATTTGAAACCAATAAGAACAAAGAGACAATGTGCCAGAATCTCTGGGACACAGCTAAAGCAGTGTTAAGAGGGTAGCACTAAATCCCCATATCAGAAAGCTAGAAAGATCTCAAATCGACACCCTAACCTCACAATTAAAAGAGCTAGAGAAGCAAGAGCAAACTAATCCAAAAGCTAGCAGAAGACAAGAAATAACTAAGATCAGAGCAGAACTGAAGGGGATAGAGACACAAAAAACCCTCAAAAAAATCAATAAATCCAGCAGCTGGTTTTTTGAAAAAATTAACAAAATAGGTAGACTGCTAGCTAGACTAATAAAGAAGAAAAAAGAATCAAATAGACACAATAAAAAACGATAAAGGGGATATTACCACTTATCCCACAGAAATACAAACTACCATCAGAGAATACTATAAACACCTCTATGCAAATAAACTAGAAAATCTAGAAGAAATGGATAAATTCCTGGACACATACATCATCCCAAAACTAAACCAGGAAGAAGTCGAATCCATAAATAGACCAATAACAAGTTCTGAAATTGAGGCAGTAATTAATAGTCTACCAACCAAGAAAAGCCCAGGACCAGAAGGAATCACAGCCAAATTCTACCAGCCAAATTCTACAAAGAGGAGCTGGTGCCATTCCTTCTGAATATGATCCAAACAGTGAAAAGCAGGTACTCTTCCCTAACTAATTTTATGAGGCCATCATCATCCTGATACCAAAACTGGGCAGAGACACAACAAAAAAAAGAAAATTTCAGGCCAATATCCCTGATGAATATTGATGCAAAAATCCTCAATAAAATACTGGCAAACCGAATCCAGCAGCACATTGGAAAACTTATCCACCACAATCAAGTTGACTTCATCCCTGGGATGCAAGGCTAGTTCAACATACACAAATCAATACATGTACTCCATCACACAGACAGAACCAATGACAATAACCACACGATTATCTCAATAGATGCAGAAAAGGCCTTTGATAAAATTCAACATGTCTTCATATTAAAAACTCTCAATAAACTAGATATTGATGGAACATATCTCAAAATAATCAGAGCTATTTATGACAAACCCACAGCCAATATCATATTGAATGGGCAAAAGCTGGAAGCATTCCCTTTGAAAACTGGTGCAAGACAAGGATGCCCTCACTCACCACTCCCTTTCAACATAATATTGGAAATTCTGGCCAGGGCAATCAGGCAAGAGAAAGAAGTAAAGCATATTCGAATAGAAAGAGAGGAAGTCATATTGTCCCTTTTTGCAGATGACATGATTCTACATTTAGAAAACCCAGCATCTCAGCCCCAAAACTCCTTAAACTGATAAGCAACTTTGGCAAAGTCTCAAGATACAAAATCAATGTGCAAAAATCACAAGCATTCCTATACACCAACAATAGACAAGCAGAGGACCAAATCACAAATGAACTCCCATTCACAATTGCTATAAAGAGAATAAAATACCTAGGAATACAGCTAACAAGGGATGTGAAGGACCTCTTCAAGGAGAACTACAAACCACTGCTCAAGGAAATCAGAGAGGACACAAACAAATGGAAAAACATTCCATCCTCATGGATAGGAAAAATCAATGTTGTGAAAATGGCCATTCTGCCCAAAGTAATTTATAGATTCAATGCTATTCCCATCAAGCTACCATTGACAATCTTCACAGAATTAGAAAAAACTATTTTAAATTTCATATGGAACCAAACAAGAGCCCATATAGCCAGGACAATCCTAATCAAAAAGAACAAAGCAGGAGGCATCACACTACCTGACTTCAAACTATACTACAAGGCTACAGTAACCAAAACAGCATGGTACTGGTACCAAAACAGACATATAGACCAGTGGAACAGAACGGAGAACTCAGAAATAACACCACACATCTACAACCATCTGATCTTTGACAAACCTGACAAAAACAAACAATAGGAAAAGAATTTCCTATTCAATAAAAGGTGCTGGGAAAACTGGCTAGCCATATGCAGAAAACTGAAACTGGACCCCTTCCTTATACCTTTTACAGAAATTAACTCATTAAAGACTTAAATGTAAAACCCAAAACCATAAAAACCCTAGACGAAAACTTAGGCAATACCATTCAGGACATAGGCATGGGCAAAGACTTCATGATGAAAACACCAAAAGCAATTCCAACAAAAGCCAAAATTGACAAATGAGATCTAATTAAAGAGCTTCTGCACAGCAAAAGAAACTATCATCAGAGTGAACAGGCAACCTACAGAATGGGAGAAAGTTTTTGCCATCTACCCATTTGACAAAGGTCTAATATCCAGAATCTACAAGGAACTTAAACAAATTTACAAGAAAAAAAAATCCCCATCAAAAAGCGGGCAAAGGATATGAACAGACACTTCTCAAAAGAAAACATTTATGTGGCCAATGAACACATGAAAAAAAGCTCAACATCACTGATCATTAGAGAAATGCAAATCGAAACTACAGTGAGATACTGTCTCATGCCAGTCAGAATGGTAATTATTAAAAAGTCAAGAAACAATAGATGCTTGGGAGGCTGTGGAGAAATAGGAACACTTTTACACTGTTGGTGGGAATGTAAATTAGTCCAACCATTGTGGACGACAGTATGGCAATTCGTCAAGGATCTAGAACCAGAAATACCATTTGACCCAGCAACCCCATTACTGGGTATATATCCAAAGAATTGTTCCATTATAAAGACACATGCACACATATTATCACTGCAGCACTATTTACAACAGCAAAGACATGGAACCAACCCAAATGCCCATCAATGATAGACTGGATAAAGAAAATGCGGTAAATATACACGATGGAATACTATGCAACCATAAAAAGAAATGAGACCTTGTCCTTTGCAGGGACTTGGATGAAGCTGGAAGCCATCCTAACTAACTAACTAACAGGAACAGAAAACTAACACAGGAAGAGAAAACCAAACACCGCATGTTTTCACTCATAAGTGGGAGCTAAACAATGAGAACACATTTAGCGGACAACAGCATAGTGTAAATACAACTTTTATATGCACTTGGCAATCAAAAAATTCATGTGAGTTGCTCTACTGCAGTATTCGCTTTATTGCAGTGGTCTATAACTGAATCTGTAGTACCTCCAAGATATGCCTGTGTAAAGCAACATATTCACAGTTCTGTGTATTACAATATGAACATCTCTGACATGAAAATATGCATAAATTTCTCACATTTTATAAGAAGTTTTTATTCATCTTTCTATTTGAAAGACGCTTTTTCCGAGTATAAAATTCTAGATCAACAGCTAATTTTTGGCACCTTAAAGACAGTCCATTGTCTTTCTGGGTCACAAAGCTAGTGGTAAGAAGTCCACCATCACCCTCATCTTTGTTCCTCTGTAAGTAATGAAGTTTTGGAGTAATGAAGTAGTTTGTAAGTAATGAAGTCTTGAAGTTTGCCATTTTTTTTCTTCTGGCAATTTAAATTTTATAGTTGAGGTTCTTAGAGTGAACTTTTCATTTCAGTAATTGTACTTTTGAACTCCAGAATTTCTATTTGATTTTTTTAATCATTTCTCTCTATTGATATTCTCTATTTGATGCAAAATTGTTGTCCTACCTTCCTTTATTTAATCATAGTTTCCTTTAGTTCTTTGAACATATCTACAATGGCTACTTTCTAGTCATTTTCTGTTAGTCTGATTTCTGACCACTGTCTGCCTACTGTACTTACAAAGTATGGGTCATATTTTCTTGTTTCTTTTCACGCCTTGTAAATTTCTGTTGGTAACTGGACATTTTAGGTAATACATCATGGCAACTCTGGGTAAACCCACCCCTGCTCTAAGCTTGTTATTATTTGTTTTTTGTTTAATGACTAGCTGGACTATTTTAGTGATGTTCACTGTCATCCTCATCTTTGATTCTCTGTAAGTAATGAGTATTTTTCCCTTTTTGCATATAAGTTTGTCACTGTATCACTAGATTTCAGTAAACTGAATATGACACAAATATGACTATTTTCCACCTGCAGTGTTAAATCTTTGGTGCTGCTCCTCAAGGAGTTGTAGCTTTGTGCATGTATGCTCACATATGGTCACTAGTATGACAGTGGTTTTGGCAGGACTCTTTTTGTCACTTTCTCTGACCACGTCCAACTGTTAAGCTATACTAAGTGCCAGCTGATTTATGTACTGCTTTCAACAATACTGTGGTGCTTAAATTGTTCTATAGACTAATCCATCAAATTCGGGTTCCTTTGAAGGAGTAGTTCCTACATTGTTTGAGATTTGCTCTGTTGAGGAGCTCTGACCACAGATGGGCTCCCACAAGCTGTCTCTTTCCAAGGGTCTCTGCTTTTCCCTCCAGGCAAAATCTCAAGTCAAGTCAAGTTGAGTCAAGGCTCTGGAACTAGGGTGGCAGACAATTGCACACTCTCTCTAAATGACACCCTCACTTTAAGAGCTGAGTGCTCATTGGGGGCCAGAGAGGGTAGAAGATGAACAGTAGCCTCCAACTTTTTTGGCTAGTTTCATCCAGAGTACAACACTCACTTTACAGACTAAGGCAAGGACAATCAGAACCCCTATATCTCAGCAGTGCCAAACCCAAGGTAAAGACTGCATCTCATGAGTGGGGAGCTGTGCAGAAGAGAACTCTACTTCAGAACTTAGCCTCATCAATAGGTAGCTGTGGCAAGATGAGAAAAGCTGATATCCTTCCATAGGATTACTCTCTGTCTGGGAGCTGAGAATAGAGAGAGCCTTGTGTTTTGGGCTGCACTAGTTTGGAATAAAGTTTCCATCTCACTAAGCTGGGAAAGGGGATAGGAGGGAAAGGGTCTCAGTTCCCCATAGAGTCTTGCTGTTCTTACCACAATACAGATTTTCTGGAATAAACGTTTCTTCATCTACTTATTATTTAAATGTCCGTAAGACTATTTCCAGAGACATTAAATGGTATGTTGTTGGGTATTTTTGTTTTTGTTTTTGTTTTGTTTCTTTTGTTTGTTTGCTTGTTTTTGAGATAGAGTTTCCCTCTTTTTGCCTAGGCTGGAGTGCAATGTTGTTATCTCCGCTCACTGCAACCTCCACCTCCCAGGCTCAAGTGATTCTCCTGCCTCAGCCTCCCTCCCAAATAGCTGGGATTACAGGAATGCACCACCACACCTGGCTAATTTTGTTTTATGTTTATTTGTTTGTTTTTGAGAAAATGTCTCACTCTGTCACCCAGACTGGAGTGCAGTGGCACGATCTCGGCTCACCGCAACCTCCGCCTCCCAGGCTCAAGCGATTCTCCTGCCTCAGCCTTCCAAGTAGCTGGGATTAGAAGCGCACGCCACCACACCCAGATAATTTTTGTATTTTTAGTAGAGACGGGGTTTCACCACGTTGGCCAGGCTTGTCTCAAACTCCTGACCTCAAATGATCCACTCGCCTCTGCCTCCCAAAGCGCTGGGATTATAGGCGTGAACCACCGTGCCGTGTGTGTGTGTGTGTGTGTGTGTGTGTGTGTGTGTGTGTGTGTGTTTTAATTATCTTCACCAGTTTTTCTGGAGAAAGAGTCTGCTGAGCTTCTCATGCTATTATGCCAGAAGTCCCTCCCAGTCAATTAACAAAAGTGGCAAGGTAATTCAATGAGAATACTAGAGTCTTTTTCAAAAAATGGTTCTAGACAATGAATATGGGAAAAATGAAACTCAACCTTTCCTTATACCATATGCAAAATAATTTGGAATGAATTACAGCCTAAAATATGAGTCAAACTATTAAACTTCTAGAAGAAAACACAGGAAGAATTATTTGTAATTTTGGGATAGGCAAAGATATCTTAGCTAAGACACAAAAAACATGAATCATACACACATAAAAACTGTAAAACTGGGCTTCATCAAAAATTTTTAAAGTTTGTCCTTTAAAAGATACTGTTTGAAAAATTAAAAGGCAAGCCAAAGACTACGAGAATAACTTTAAAACCAGAAATCTGATGAAGAACTTGTTTTTGAGATATATAAAGAATTCGTTCAACTGAATAATAATATAGACAATCCAATTTAAAAATGGGCAAAAGTTTGAACAGATACTTCATCAAAGAAGATATGAAAAATGGCAGGTAAATAAATGATGTTCTATAATATTGGTAGTCTTTAAGGAAATGCAAATTAAAAACATAGGATTGCACTATTTACCTATTAAAATGGCTAAAACTTAAAAGACTGATGATATATATAGCAAGGGTACAGAGCAACTGTAATACTTATACATTACTGATTGGAACTTAATACGGTACAGCCACTTTGGAAAGCAGTTTGGCAATTTCTCCAAAAGTTAAACACAGACATAACATACAGTGCAGTAATCCCACTCTTACATGTTTACCCAAGAGAAATAAAAACACAAAGACTTACATGCAAAGATTCATAACTTTATTAATTACAGCCAAAATCTGGAAACAACCCAAAAGTCTATCAACAGGCAAATGGAAAAACATGTTGTAGTATAGCCTTACAATAAAATACTACTCAGCAACAAAAGGAATGAAAATATCAGTGAAAGAAGCCAGGCACAAAAGACTGTATGATTCTATTTGTATGAAATTCTAGAAAAAAAAATTATAGTGATAGAAAACAAATGTGTGGTTGCCTCAGGGTGGGACTGTTGTGTGGAAATTGGCCAAAGGGGCATGAGAGATCTTTGGAAGAATGATGAAAATATTTTATATCTTTATTATGGTTTTAGTTACATTACTATACATTTTTCAAACTCACCCAAATGAATCCTGAATGAATTTTATTGTATGTAAATTATATCTCTAATTTTTTTAAAAAGGTCAATAGAAGCAATGTATTAAATAGTTTAATAGTAGAGAAAGATCAGAAAGATCAAGACAGAGACACTGTCTTCATGTATATTAACGTACTGGATATCAGAGATTCTGAAATTATGTTAGATATCAAGTGAAAATATTCTTTTGTCAATCATTTTCATTCAGTTATAAGACCAACATTTATCTTAAGCCAGATTTGTGAAAATTCAATGTAAAAATAATTATCATACTATTTCACAAGAGTGTTATTGTTCCTTGCTCATTAAAAAAAAAAAGAGCAAGAGCTTGTTGAGATGTCATAGCTAACAAAGCTATAATAAACTGGGATTTTTTTCAGCAAATGTTTGCTTCCCTTTCCTCTTTGGGTCAGGGTATACTTTCCACTCCCACTGCCTTTATGCTTGGCCATGCGACTTGCCTTGGCCAATGGAATATGAGCATGCAGGATATCTGCAGAATTTTAAATGTGTTTGCCTGGCTTAGCTTGCACTTGAACTCCTATAATCAACATACAATTACAACATAGGCAACCAGTGCCTCGTTAGGCTGGATCAAAGCGTGAAGCTTAAGGGGCAAACCTGAACTTACCTCAAAGCCTGAAACTGAACTACAGCATAAAGCAGAGCCACTTATGAGTGAGAAAATTAAAAGCTTGCCATGATACGACAATAAATTTGGTGGAGGTTTGTTACAGCATTATTATGGCAAGAGTTGACTCATGCAAAGCTAACATTTGAGGAGAAATTACAATGTTCTAGGCACTGAGCTACAAACTTTACATATATTACCCATTTAATTATCACAATGACTCTGTAAGAGAAAACATTTTACATTGTCTTTCTAAAATACATGATGAAACTGAAGCACAAATAGGATAATTGCATTATCCAAAGTCTCAGAGCTAGTAAGTAACCAAGTAGGGTTTAAACCCAGGATGTTATAATTCTAATACTCACCCAATGCACTAATTATCAAGATCAAATTGAATTTTTAAATTCTATTCTTCTAGTTGGGGTGTTAAATAATGGTTAACACTCTTCAATCTCCATAAACCCTTTTCTTCTCTTCCACCTAACCTGCCCATCTTCATACCTGTATCTAAACAACCATCTGTTTACTGTACCCCAACTATTGGGTTGTCAGTAGCTAGAAAAGTACGCTGCCTTGACTCCATTACAAGGTTAGCTGATGGACTTTCCATATAGCTTTGCAAAATTGTGCTTATTCATGTTGATTCCATTTTGCATTCCCCACAATAGCTGTTCCAAACCTTAATCACCAAGATAAGCCCTAATTTCAATATCACTCCTCACTCTCAGAGGCTCTGCCTCCAATTTCTCAGCGAATGAATATTCCATGAGGCATTACATTTCTCAACTTTTTTCCTCTCTGCCTTATACCTATCTTTACCTCTCTTTACTCCTTGCTCTTGTGTCTCAAATGACTAATTCTACCCCCATATTCTTGTCTTTCTTCCTTCCCATACCTTGTTCTACAGATTTAACATCTTCCTTTTTTTCTCTCTACTAGAAAACCTACATACTCATTTCTCCCACATCTTTTTTTGCTCTTGTTGCCCAGGCTGGAGTGCAATGGCATGATCTCAGCTCACTGCAATCTCCACCTCCCGGGTTCAAGCAACTCTCCTGCCTCAGCACCCCCGAGTAGCTGGGATTACAGGCATGCGCCACCACGCATGGCTAATTTTTGTATTTTTAGTAGAAATGGGGTTTCATCATGTTGGTCAGGCTGGTCTCAAACACCTGATCTCAGGTGATCCGCCCGCCTCAGCCTCCCAAAGTGCTGGGATTACAAGCATGAGCCACCATGCCCAGCCCTATTTCTCCCACATCTTAAGCCAACTTTCCCACAAACCTGATGCCTCCACAAACCACCAACTCATCTTTCTCCCTGCTTTCACTGTTAAACTTCTTGACAAAGTAGGTGCTGTATCAGCTATCTTTACTTTTTCACCTCCAAGTCACTCCTTAATACATTACAGGATAAGTTCCCCTTCTGTGAACTTTACCAAAATTATTCTCTCAAAGGACACTGACAGTTTCCAAATTGCCCAAGTCAGTGATCTCCTCTCAGTTATCATCTTAACCAAGCCTTTCTCTAGTTTTAAATGACACTGTTGACTACATACATCAACTCCATCCCTCCAGACCCACCCTGCACCTCATTGTTCCTCCTTCTATGTTCTCTATTATGGTTACTGGTACCATTCAGTCACCCAGCCTAGAAGTCTTAAGGTCAATCTAGTCTTTTTCTCTCTCACATCATAGCCTCTTAACATCTCCAATATTATTTTTATTACTATTTTGCTCTTATAATCTCTCAGTTGGACTATTCAAAAAGTCTTCTAAGATGGAAGTTGATAGCAATAAACACCTACATCAAGAAACGTAGAAAGATTTCAAATAATCAGTCTAATGATGCACCTAAAGGAATTAGAAAAGCAAGAATAAGCCAAATCCCAAAGTTAGCAGAAGGAAAGAAGTAATAAAAATCAGAGCAGAAATAAATGAAATAGAGACCACAAAAATAAAAAAGATCAACGAAATGAAAAGTTGGCTTTTCAAAAAGATAAAATTGGTAAACCACTAGCTAGACTAACCAAGAAAAAAAGAGAAGTCCAAATAAATAAAATCAGAAATTAAGAAATGGAACATCACAACCAATACCTTAGAAATACAAAATATCATCAGAGACTATTATTAACAGCTATACATAAACAAACTGGAAAACCCAGAGGAAGTGGATAAATTCCTGGACATATACAGCCTACCAAGAATAAATCAGGAAGATACAGAAAACCTGAACAGACCAATAATAAGTAATGAAACTGAATCTGTAATAAAAAGCCTCCCAACAAGGAAAGGCTTGGACCAGATGGCTTCACTGCCAAATTCTACCAAACATATAAAGAAGAACTAGTACTAATTCTCCTCAAACTATTCCAAAAAAATAAAGAGGAGGGAGTTCTCCCTAACTCATTCTATGAGGCTAGAATTACCCTGATACTAAAGCCAGACAAGGACATATACCAAAAAAAAAAAAAAAAAGAATATCCCTGAAGGACATAGACACAAGAATCTTCAACAAAATACTAGCAAACTGAATATCATAGCACATCAAAAAGATAACACATACACCATGATCTAGTTGCATTTATCCCAGGTTGCAAGGATGTTTCAACATATGCATATGAATAAACATAATATATCACATCAACAGAATGAAGGACAAAAATGATATGATCATTGATAGATACAGAAAAAGCATTTGATAAAATTCAACAATGCTTCATGATAAAAATTCTCAACAAGCTAGCATAGAAGGTAGATATCTCAGCATAATAAAGGCCATATATGATAAACCCACAGCTAACATCATACTGATGGGGAAAGCATTTCCTCTAAGAACTAGAACAAGACAAAGATTTCCACTTTCAACACTCTATGCAACATAGTACTGGAAGTCCTAGCCAGAGCAATCGGGCAAGAGAATGAAAGAAAAGGCGTCCAAACTGGAAAAGAAGTAAAATTGTCCCTCTTTGCAGACAATTTGATCTTATATTTAGAAAAATCAAAAGAAACCACCACAAAAAAAAACTCTTCAAACTGATAAATTCAGTAAAGTTGCAGGACGCAAAATCAGCACACAAAAATCACCAGTATTTTTATACACCAAAAATGACATAGCTGAAAAAGAAACCAAGAAGGCAATCTTATTTACAGTAGCTACAAACCAAATAACTAAAAATAAATTTAACCAAGGAGGTGAAAGACATCTAGAAGGAAAACTACAAAACACTGATAAAAGAAACTGAAGAGGGCATAAACAAAGAGAAAGACATCCCATGTTCACAGATCAGAGGAATTTTATGGCAAAGAATTCAAAAGCACAGACAACAAAAACAAAAATAGACAAATGGAATTACATTAAACTAAAAAGCTTCTGCACAGCAAAGGAAACAATCAACAGAGTGGAGAGACAACCTATTGAATGAAAGAAAGTATTTGCAAACTATTCATCCAACAAGGGACTAATATCCAGCATATAAGGAACTCAAATGATTCAACAATAAAAAATCTAATAATCCCATTAAAAATAGGCAAAGGAAATGAATAGACACTTCTCACAAGAAGACATACAAATGGCCACCAGGGATATGGAAAATGTCAACATCACTAATCATCAGGGAAATGTATATTAAAACCACAATGAGATATCATCTTACCCCAGTTAGAATGACTATTATTAAAAAGACAACAGATGCTGGTGAGAATGCAGAGAAAGGGAACTTTTATATGCTGTTGATAAAAATGTAAATTAGTACAGCTGCTATGGAAAACAGTATGGAGATTTTTCAAAAAACTAAAAATAGAACTACCATGAGATTCAGCAATCACACTGCTGGTTATTTATCATCAAAGGAAGGAAAATCAGTATATCAAAGGGATACCTGCACCTTCGTGTTTATTACAGCACTATTCACAACAGCAAAGACATGGAATCAACTTAAGTGCCCATCAACGGATGAATGGATAAAGAAAATGTGGTATATATACACAGTGAAATACTTGTTGTCCATAAACAATGAGATCCTGTCATTTGCAGTAACATGGATGGAACTAGAAATCCTTATGTTAAGTGAAATAAGCTAGACATACAAAGACAAACATAATATCACATTTTCTCACTCATATGTAGGAGGTAGGAAATGCAAACTTAATCAAGTAATGGCTTTCCTCTCCTTCCCACTTCTTTTCCCCATGCTTAAAACCCTTCAGTGGGTATTCCATAATTATCCATTGCCTAGAGGATAAGGACAAAATGTATTATTGGGAATAAAAGGTGTTTTTTGGCCACCTCTACAGCATCAACTCCTGATCACCTCCCCATACCATGTCTTTTGCATCCTTGAAATTTTTCCACCTTGTTCCCTTCAACATCACTTTTTCCTATTTCCCCCCTACCTGTATAATACCTTTCAGTTTCTTTCTCAAGTTCTTAGATCCTCGGGTCTTTGTTTTTTCTTCTCTTTTAGTTCTAGCAATTCAATTGCCCTGGGCAATCTTGTCCCTTCTGATCAACCTCATTGTGTCCAATTACCAACTATTCATCAATAGTTTATTAATTTTAATCTACAGCCTCCAACTTCTATCCTAAGCCATAGTCCCATAGACATTCTAGTATTGTCAATAATTACAGCTCATTTATTGAAAAACTGCTACATGCCAGCAATTGCATTAGATGTGTGCTAGAACACATATCTATTAAATAAACATGTTCTCATTTAATCATTACAGAATGCTGTAAAGCAGGCACAACTGTTCCTTCTTTGGGATGAACACAGACATGGAATTTATATAATGTTCCCAGTATCATATAGGTAGAAAGTACTGAAGCAGGAATTTAAGCTCAGATTGGCAAAAGACCATTTCACTAAGATATTCACTACTTTTTACCAAACTCCTTCAAATGCACATATTCTTCAGTACTTATTTTATTATTTCCAAACCCAAATCACTCCTCCATCTGTTATTCCCACATTCACTCATAGCATTACTATTACCAGGAACAATACAGAAGTCTTCCAAGTCACATTTAACTCCTCCATCTAACTTCTCCATATTTGTTGGGTCACTAAGCCACATTCTATGTCTGAAAAAGCTCTTGAATCTCCCTCTTTTTATTGTAGTATTTCAGTAGCTGTCTCACAGTTCTCCAGTTTCTGCCCCTGTAATTATCTTCCATTTCTTTGAGAGTTTGCTTTCTAAATAAATCTGACTGACTTCTAGATAAGATGACTGAATATGCACAATTCTCTTCTCTACTTCCTAATATTCCAATTAAAATGATCAGTGAAACCATTAAAAACTAGAGTAACCAGTACTACAAAGAATAACATTCTCACATCACAGAATTGAAGAACTTTTGTAAGTTTAGGCCAACAGAACTTTATTGAAGGAAGGATTGGCCCAAACCAAGACTCACTAGTTAAGAAGTAACTTGTCTGGAAAGTAAATAAAGAAAACCAACAGAATCCCACAAATATGCTCACATTTGGAGATGTGAGGCTGGAGGTGAAAGCAGACTGTGAAGCAAGTAGGTGATTCCATATTATATTGTGGCTTAGAGTTCAGGTGGACATTTGATACCAACTCACTGTGTCCTTTAAGCTGTAAGGGCATATACTAATACTAAGTACTCTGTGGAATATTAAGTCCTCTAGTGGAAGGCCATCTTCCACTAGACTTAGGCAAAGGTTAGGAATTACTTCCCTCACTCCATTCAGGGAGGGTATTCACATACACTATCATCTTTCTCCAAAATCTCTCCCCTAATCTCCCATCTCCTAACTTTCACAACCTCCATGTCTTTAAGGGATGCAAATGCTGTCTGACTAATTCTACCCTAACTTTATAAATTCTAAACCACTGTGGCCTTCAACCCCACTTTGAAGTATGGCATCTAGTATCTTGGGGCTTCAAAAGAAACTTCCATTTTAATATCCTTTTACATTAATACTCTGGATAATGTTTCTATCTGTGATTTGATGGGGAGGGTTTTTTTTGGGGGGGGCGGGGCCAAAAAAAAAGTACTCAAAGCTAAAAAAAAACTCCATCCAAGATCCTTTGTCTTTAAATACCATTTGAAGTTAGACTAGTGGATTCAAATCCTGACTCCAGGGACTAACTGTATAAGCTTTGGGAACAATCTAAGCATCTTAAGTTTCAGTTTTATAATCATATATGAATAATGACAGGCCTTCGTAGAATTTTGTAAAAATTAAATAACATGTTCTAAACAAAACTAAAAATATTTCTAGCGGCCCATAATGTCCCAGATGAAAACTGCCCCTTCCACGTCTCTTTGACCATGTCATCTCCATGTCATCTCTATGTCATCTCCGCCTCACTCATGCCAATCACTGTTCCACCTCAAGCGTTCTGCTGCCACTTCTTTTTTCTCCCCCTGGAATATTCATTCCTCAGATAGTTGATGGCTAACTGTTCCACCTGCTTCAGGTCTTTGCTCAAACACAACCTTCTCCATCCTTCTCTGAGCATTCCATGTAAGCCTAAGCCCCTTGTTTTACTTCTGCCCTTCCCTCTATCCCTTCCCTGCCTTGATTTGCTCCATAGCACTTATCATCTTTATCATACTACATATTTTCACATTTTTACTTTACCTTCTGTCTCCTCCCACTTAATGTGGGATCCACTAAGAACATTACCTGGCACATAAGAACTAGTCGGTAGCCAGGAACAGTGGCTCACACCTGCAATCCAGCACTTTTGGAGACAGAGGCAAGAGAATCACTTGAGCCCAAGTGTTCAAGACCAGCCTGGGTAACACAGTGAGACCCCATCTCTACGAAAAAAGAAATTAATTAGCTGGCCATGGTGGCACACACTTACAATTCCAGCTACTTGGGAAGCTGAGGGGGAGGATCACTTGAGCCCAGGAAGTTGAAACTAGAGTGATCCATGATCACACAACTGTACTCCAGCCTGGTTAACAGAGGGAGACCGTGTCTCAAAAACAAAAACAAAAACAAAAAACAAAAAACAAAAAAACTAGTCAATAAATACAGGCTACTGTTGTAATAATAAATATTATAATGCAGCACCTCTGTGAAATATTCCAGGAATCAGACCTGACTGCAGCATTGTTCCTGGCTTACACACAGCATGTCAGGCAAAAGTGTATGTCAGACAAGAAAAAGGATCTGCTCATATGAAAGCATAGGGTAAAATCACAAGGATCAATGAGGGTAAGTTAAATAGTATCCCATAACATCAAGTTAAATTAAAAATTAGGAGAAATGGGGCCAGCAAGATGGCCAAATAGGAACAGCTCCAGTCTGCAGCTCCCAGTGAGATCAATGCAGAAGGCGGGTGATTTCTGCATTTCCAACCCAGGTACCTGGCTTATCTCACTGGAAATGGTTAGACAGAGGGTGCAGCCCATGGAGGGCAAGCTGAAGCTGGGTGGGGCATCCCCTCACCCGGGAAGTGCAAGGGGTTGGGAAATTCCTTCCCCTAGCCAAGAGAAGCCGTGAGGGACTATGCCATGAGGAACAGTGCACTCCGGCCCAGATACTACACTTTTCCCACTGTTTTTACAACCCACAGACCAGGAGATTCCCTCTAGTGCCTATGCCACCAGGGCCCTGGGTTTCAAGCACAAAAGTAGGTGGCAATTTGGGCAGACACCTAACTAGGTCAGGAGATCGAGACCAATCTGGCAAAATGGTGAAATGCCATTTCTACTGAAAATACAAAAATTAGCTGGGTGTGGTGGCGCGTACATGTAATCCCAGCTACTCGGGAGGCTGAGGCAGGAGAATCACTTGAACCAGGCAGTCTGAGGTTGCAGTGAGCCAAGATCACACCACAGCACTCCAGCCTGGCAACAGAGCTAGGCTCCGTCAAACACACACACACACACACACACACACACACACACACACATCAGGAAACAACAGATGCTGGAGAGGATATGGAGAAATAGGAAAGCTTTACACTGTTGATGGGAGTTCGACCATTGTGGAAGACAGTGTGGCAATTCCTCAAGGATCTAGAACTAGAAATACCATTTGACCCAGCAATCCCATTACTGGGTATATACCCAAAGGATTATAAATCATGCTACTATAAAGACACATTCACATGTATGTTTACTGCAGCATTATTCACAATAGCAAAGACTTGGAACCAACCCAAATGCCCATCAATGATAGGCTGGATAAAGAAAATGTGGCACATATATACCATGGAATACTATGCGGCCATAAAAAAGGATGAGTTCATGTCCTTTGCAGCGACATGGATGAAGCTGGAAACCATCATTCTCAGCAAACTAACACAGGAACAGAAAACCAAACACCGCATGTTCTCACTCATAAGTGGAAGTTGAACAATGAGAACATATGGACACAGGGAGGGGAACATCACACACTGGGGCCTGTCGAGGTGGGGGGCAAGGGGAGGGATAGCATTAGGAGAAATACCTAATGTAGATGAGAGATTGATGGGTGCAGCAAACTACCATGACACAGGTATACCCATGTAACAAACCTGCACATTCTGCACGTTTCCCAGAACTTAAAGTATAATGAAAATAAATAAATAAATAAAGCTAAATTTAAAAAAAAGAATAAGATCATGTCCTTTGCAGGGATATGGATGGACCTAGAGGCCATTATCCTTAGCAAAGTAACACAGGAAGAGAAAACCAAATACCATATGTTCTCACTTATAAGTGGGAACTAAGTGATGAGAACACATGGACACATACAGCGGAACAATACACACTGGAGCCTATTGGAGGGTGGAAGGTGGTAGGAAGGAGAGGATCAGGAAAAAAAAAACTAATGGGTACTAAGCTTAATACCTCGGTGATAAAATAATATGTACAAACCCCCATGACATAAGTTTAGCTATGTAACAAACCTGCACATGTACCCCTGAACTTAAAAGAAAAAAAAAAACAGTGGAGGCAATTGCAAAGACAATAAATGATGTATTTGATTACATTAAAAATTGAAATATCAAAACATTCCCAGAAAAATTAAAAAGAAAGAAAACCAAAGCAGAGTATTCACACACAAAAAATATAATTTTTTAAAAAATCTAGATTTTATAATTTGACTTAAGAAACAACATAACAAAGACTGGTATGGAAGATGCAAAATTTTTAAATCTAAGTATGTCACTGTTTATTAAAGTAGTAAAAATAAGAGTAAGTGAAATATACATTAAAATGCACACTAGAATTTGGCTGGGTGCAGTGAATCACGCCTGTAATCCCAGCACTTTGGGAGGCCAAGGCAGGCAGATCATGAGGTCAGGAGTTCGAGACCAGCCTGACCAACACGGTGAAACCCCGTCTCTACTAAAAATACAAAAAAAAAATTAGCCAGGCGTGGTGGTGCACAACTGTAATCCCAGCTACTCAGGAGGCTGAGGCAGGAGAATCTCTTGAACCCGGGAGGCAGAGGTTGCAGTGAGCCAAGATCGCACCACTGCCATCCAGCCTGGGTGACAGAGGGAGACTCTGTCTCAAAAAAAAAAAAAAAAAAAATGCACACTAGAATTTAAGTTTTTATTCTCTGGTTGCTTTTATTTCAATTACTAATGTTAGAAGCTATTTTTTAGCAAATCCTCACAACTTTGTACTTTTCCAGGCAATGGCCATCAATATCTTCCTTTCTCTAAACTGGCCAAGAAATCTTGATAACAAATTATTTTGACCTCATGATATTATATCAGCTACCTCTAAGTGCTTTCTCTAGTTTATAGCCTAGCAGGCAGAAACTCTGCCTTAATTATTCACATAGTATCTGATTTAAGTAACCTATTATATGCATATACTTAATTATAATAAATTGTATCAGGGTCTCTCAACAAAATGAACTTCTATTATTGTAAGCCTACAGATATAGGGAAAGACTTTTGTCTCAAGCACGACAAAATCTAGAGGTTCACCTAAAATAGAGATTAAAGAAAAAGACCTTTCAGTTCCTATGGCTATTGTTTCATTAATTTTAGCATACATGTAATTTACCAATAATCTAATGTAGTCTATTTTTTAAATGATTTTTAAGTATAACTTTGTCTCCATTATGAATATATTTTTACAAGTTACTTCTAAAACTAAGTCTATTTCTAAAACCACATTTTGGAATGGCAAGTCATCTTTTCTCTCAGAATGAAATCTACAACATAACGTTAATCTTTTAAGGATAGAGAGGAAGAGAGGATTAATAAAGCAAATCTTATTCCAGTACAAATAGGAATCTGTATGTGGCTGGAGAGGTACCTTTATGCTGAATAATTTTCAAGTTATATGTAACTTTATTCTGCGGTTTTCTATTCCTGTGGGACTGTGAGAGCAGGTGAAATATTTGTCACCAACCATAAAAAATTATGAACTAAAGTAATAACACTACAATAACTAAGCTCGTCTCTAACAGATGTATTCTGTGGAAATTTCCCAAGACAACAGCCTTAGAAAATGGAGTAGTGTTAATTTCAACTAAAGTTCTCCATATTGAACTATGTCTTACAGGTCTAAAGTTCTGATGCATCTTTAAATAATGGGTTTTGAAAAAAGCTTCATACATCTTGATAACTTTCTCGGCTTTAATTGTGTTGATTCTAACAATCCTAATGAGAAAAATTAATGCCTAAAGCCAATGGTGATACCAGAAAGATATTAAAATACAGCTGGCACTCTTTATCCATGGGTTCCACGTCTGCAGACAAGAAGGGTCAACTAAGGAACTTGAGCATCCATGGATTTCAGTATCCTTTGGGTTCCTGCAACCAACCCCCTGCAGATACTGAAAGATGACTATATCTGGAACATACAGATTAAATGAGATATTGGGAATAACAAAAGAGGGAGAAATGAAGGGGAAAGGTTTCAAGTGAATTAATTCTTACTTAAAAAATTCATACTAATAGATTAATTTCTCCTTTTTGAGAGTCAATCACATGATAAGTCAATGTAATATTTTTCAATATACACTAAATAGTATAGAATTTGGTGAGGCACAAATTCCCTGAACTGGATCAACAGAAGTTTCTTATTTAAAGTACAAGACCATCATTAAAAGTTTCACTTACAACTGTAAACCCCAAGAAAGAACAGATGCTCTGAAGCATTCTTCACACTGTCCTTAAGTCCCTATGTCCACCTCTTCCTCTGCATTCAGATTAACTTCTGAAGGAAATCCTGAAATCAAGCAAATATAACACTACAGCTACAGGCATTCTTTTTTTACTCTGCTTAGTTCCTCTTTCTTCAGTACTAAAATTAAAGCTATACAACTGCCTTAGCAGCCTGAATAAATGTTCTATCTTTGAAGGATTAGAAACCTGCAAATGGAAAAGGCGTTACAAACAAAACAGTAACTTAAAAAGATACTTCAGGCCAGGTGCGGTGGCTCATGCCTGTAATCCCAGCACTTTGGGAGGCTGAGGCAGGCAGATCACCTGAGGTCAGAAGTTTGAGACTAGCCTGACTAACATGGTGAAACCCTGTCTCTATTAAAAATACAAAAATTAGCTGGGCGTGGTGGCACATGCCTGTAATCCCAGCTACTCAGGAGGCTGAGGCAGGAGAATTGCTTGAACCCGGGAGATGGAGGTTGCAGTGAGCCAAGATTGCGCCACTGCACTCCAGCCTAGGTGACAGAGTGAGACTCTGTCTCAAAAAAAAAAAAAAAAAAAAAAAAAATCAGTAGTATCTTTAGGAGCCCAAGAAGCCATCCTAACGAAAAAAACACAAATGCTTATTAAGGGGATCCTGATGAAAAGACTCAGGATGTTCAAAGTCTTAAATTTGTTTTAAAAACCTTCAAAGTATAAATAGCTATTCTAATATCTAATTCAATAAACAAAGAGAATAAGGAAACATAACATAACTGATCACTGTAATTGTGCATAAGTGCACATGCATAAAGAACCAATGATTAAAGACAGAAGTAACAGTGATGTTAAGAAACATTGATGTTGCAACATAACAAACTAATGAGAAGCATAAGAACAGTAAACATTGGGCAAATTTGTCTCAAGCTCATCTTCATCAGATTTCAGCTTACAGTATCCTATCTACTCGGAAGTCCTTAATAGTATATAAAAATATCTCTAAGCACTTCAAAAAACAACATTAAGAAGAGCAAAATATGGTGGTTTTATTCATGTGGCTTCTCATTTATTGAAAATTCAGGGTCTCCATGCTTGCAATTTGCAAACAACTACAAACAGCAGCCTCAATTTTCTATCTTATCACTTGGGAAAAAGCACTAAAATCATTTTTAATGGTTTATTTTGTAAGCACAAATTGTAAGCATCAGATTGTGAAAGTATCTTGATGCTATAAACAAACAGTAAAATTACAATTTACAATTTAATTAAGAAAACAAAAAATATAACCTGTCATTTTATTATTTTTAAAAATCTAATTGATTTAAATTAAATGCCATGTTTCATTTGTCATATAAGAAAATATAAATTCACCTTTCATATTAATAATTATACTTCAATTATATTTTATGATACAATATTTAACTACTGATCTAAAATATATATTTTCTTATTTTTAAAATACATTCCATAAATAAAAGACAATGATTTTCTAAATATTTAATGGTGTTCAAAAAAACAGAAAGAACCACATTAATAGGAGTTCATGAGCCATATACGGTTGGAAAAATATGCTCTTAGATAAGCCTGATTATTCCCACTCTACCAGTAATAACAAAAAGACTCAGTTATGTAAGTAATTTGTGTCCAAGTTTACATAACTGGTGAGCAGCAACACTAGGGTTTAAACCAGGGCCGTGTAACTCTCAGCTTATTCTATGAAATCATGATATCAATGAACAAATGAATGAATTTTATTTCCCCAAGGTTTCTGAATAAGAAGCTATTTCCACACACTGTTAGGTGGCTTCATTGTGCCATCAATAATAACACAGATACAATTAAGGAAATAATTCAGTGTAACAAATATTTTCTCTAGTCCCTATCCAAGTGTTTAGTACTCAAAAATGAAATGCTCATGTATTAGCAATCTGGCTATCAACCAATTCAAATTAAAATTCCATTTACCAATGTCATCAATTACTTCCTAATGTCAACTCTTTTGCAGTTTTCATTGCTTGTGGCCTCAGCAGTCAGTCATTTTCCCTCAAATATTCTCATTTAGTTCCTGTTATGTTACATTACCCTGAATTTTTTCTACCTCTTCATTCCCTTGCTTCTATACAATCATTGTAATGACATAAGTACAAATATTAACAAAAGTATATCAGTGCAACAAAAAATATGACAGAGTAAGTAACATTAACTAGGACAGAGAGAGGTATAAACTTCTAGATCCCAAAATTCTCACTAAGGGATGGATGGCTGTAAATGACTGTATTGGAAAGTCACATCAGTTCAGACCTCAGGAGGCAGTATTGTCCCATCTGGGCATAGTCTTACATACAGAAGCAATCCAGCCTGCATCTGAGACAGGTGTATTTTTTTCTAACTTCAAGTTGTATAACATGTAACATGACTGCAAGAGTACTATACATAACACATTCAAGCAGTTTTTTAAATCCTTAATCCTCACCCTCAGACTCTCTCTAGTCTGATAAAGCCTAGTCCCTATAAATTACTAAATTCAGTGTCATGGAACTGGAACTACAAATCCCTGGGAGTCATGCTATATAATCTATTCTAATTTCTTTCATATACCCCATATTCCCTATATTCTTCACACTCCCAAAAATGGGACCCTTCAAAGGCTCAGGTCTGAACCCCTTTCTCCTCCTTCAATATATCAAGCTTATACCTTTGTGTTTATAATTCCACAATCAAATCTCTTGCCCTAAAAGCTTTCCCAAGCTCCTTTTTCAAACCTCCCCCTGCTAGGCATCACCACCTTGGAATTTTGCAGTCACCTCAAGGTTAACATGTTTGAAACTAAACTTATCCTCTTTCTAACACAGCCAGTTTCCCTTCTTGTTTTCTGAGTTGCAGAAGAGAGTGATCCCTGGTTTCCTCTCTTCTCCCTCTCTCCTGCAACCTATAGCCACCAAGTCTTGTAAATTCAGCCTTCATAAGTTTCCTTCCTGACCACCCCAATCCTCATCTCAGCCCTTTTTCCCAGAGAAATGCAACTGTTTCCTAACTGATTTCTACACAAACTGTCTCTTCCTCTCCCTCTGCTCAAACTATATTTCACACTTCACTTCCTGTTAAAAAATCTTTAATGGATCCCCATTGCCTATAAAATATCTTTCATACTATTTATCCAATTATTTAAAATTCTTGTTGGATCCCTGTCTCTATAACCTCTTCTCTCTCTTCTCCTATACATCAGTCATCCAATCCAGTCAAATTGCTCCAAATAAAACATGCAGTCCCACTTACGTGATGTTGGTTGGAAATTTCTCACGCCTAGAATGCTCTCCTTTCTCTCCTACACTTAACTAAGCCCTACCTTTCAAAATTGGATTGCTATCTCAAATCTCTCTTATTAAACACATGTGAAAAATGAACCATTTTCTCATAATCCTTGCCAAAAAACAACATCTAAACTCCTAAAGAATCCATCCAAAAGAAACACATGAGTACACCTAAAATCTGAAAGTCAGGAGAAGAAGAATAATGTATGAATGCAAATTTCTTTTTCCTTCTATATTGAAGCACTTTTGGCCTCATGTGTTCACTTTCTATTCTTAAAGGTAGAGACTTAATTCTATTTTCTACAGCTCTTAAAGGCTGATAATGCAGTTATTATGATTGCGACTAGCTAGCTCATCTTGTTAGAGAAAGTATCATGGTACTGGGTTAAGTTTAAATATCCATATGGAATAGAAAACTTCATTTATTTGGGTGCCACAAATTGCAACCCTGACCCTTCCCAGAAGTCTATTAATATCTACCATGAACACCAAGATAATGTTTGTGGCCAGATGAAAGTAAAAACAGCCTAAAGTGAACACCCAACTGATTTTATTTCCTTAAAATGGATTTGAAATAGAATATTTTATTATTAGTTACTTTGAATATTATTGATATTTACAAAAACATACTTCAAGTAAATCTGCCTAAAATTGGCTTGAGAACTATCTGAAGAGATTTTTTTTTTTAGATTTTCAGAAAAATATTCCTCATGGAATATCTTTCCAATTTTGCAGCATAAAAAAATAGAAAACATTATTTTGTTTCTTATCAAACTAATTTTTCAATTTTCATTCATTTAACAAATAATACTGAGTATATACTTATGCCAGAATTTTTCTAGACACCAGTAATACAGCAATAAACTAAGTAGATAAAGCTGCTGCTCTCAAGTTTACATTCTAGTGGAAGGAGATAGAAAATAAACAAGCAAATATATAATACGTTGAATCGTGGTAAGTTCTCTGAAGAAAGATAAAACAGGGTAATGGAAATAGAGAACACTAAGAAGGAAAACAGAGAAGACTTTATTGACAAGGTGATATCTGGACAGATATTTTAAGGATTATAGCTATTCATAAAATATGGAATACCAGCATAGCCAAAATTCAGGTAATACTGTGATGTAGTAACCTAATGTTTCCTAGTTACATTACTTAAATATTCTGTCCTACTGAATTAACAAATCCTGGGAGTAAAATATTTGTAAAAGCCTAGGCTGCAACCACCCTCAATCATCTGATATAGACACTATAGTTTTCTAAGCTCCCTCCATCAGCAAAATATTCGTTACTCAAAGCTGATTTGTACTGACCCTGTGGGACACAAGCCCATTTCAAGGCTGCTGGCTATAGCTTGAAAAGAACCACTGAGATGTAACTGAACATTTCTGTTCAAGTAGGGCTGGCCCTACCCCTACCTCCTATAAGCTTTGACCTGGATACATAATCCGGGGCTAATTAATCAATACATCCATCTCTTTGACAACTGAGATTGGCTCAGCAGTCAAAATGTGATCAAACTTAGAAATCTTGCTTGAATTTGGGGAAAGAAGCGCTTTTGGCCAGGATTATTAAGCAAAGAACACAATGAACCTTGGGCTACTTATATCCCTTGCCACCATATGGGAAAAGCTGGCCTGAGAACAAAACCAGTGTAGAGGAAAATCCAGCTGACCAATGGGGAAAGGCAGATTCCAGATTACATTGTTTGAGTACTAGGATCCATAAAAGCCTAGATTTTTCATTTATATGCGCTAACACATTCCTTTTCTGCATAAATCAGTTTGAATTGGTTTTGAAGAGATACATGGAAAATCAGAAAATAAGATATGGCAGAAATTTTCTCTTCCCATTTTCAACACTGAACTGGTATATTCTAAATATGGATATATGGGTGTTACCTCTTTGATGGAAGTAAACAAGGTTTTATCACCGGACCTAAAGTCTGAACACAAGGCCATTTCAAAGGAATAAAATCTAATTTTCCTTAAGGGAGTCAATATAAACAAAAGAAGGTCCAGGGCTATATTGGTGACCATCAGAAGCTAGTGCTTCAGAAAGAGTGTCTCAGGGTTTAAAGATTCTGGCATATGAAAAATATTACTTTGAGGGAAAATCCAGTACACAAAATAAAAGGAATTCTAAAGCAAATCAAATGAAAGCAAATATAGTTCACTGTCAGAAAAGATAAAGAAAAAAACGAAAAATAGTACAACCAGATATATAGTTGTATAATCCAAGTTTTAGCTAGGATTCTTAAAAGTAATTGCTGACTTGTCCACCAGACAGTACAAATAATCAATAACATTCTATCTCACAGTTGAATTTTGTAATCACAAAAAGAACAAGATCTCAAATTCTCTCTCAAGCATATTAGAATTACTGATTTTATTTCTTTAAATATGTAAATTTGTGAGTGAGGCACTTATAATTTATAACTTTTTATGTGAGTGAATGCATCAAAAATTATGTGTAAGTGTTCAAGATAACCACTCTAAACAGAAGTAAAAGACCCGCTATATATATAATAAGCAAATGCTTAGAGGTCACTATAATATTCCTAGGAAAAAAGTAAAACTTGAAATTGCATTGCATAAAGGTCTAATTGTTGCTATATAAACATATTTCACAATTTTACCTAGGAAGATTTTAATTAATAAATTCATGTTTATACTACTACCTATAACTATAGGAAAAGCTTGTATAAATGAGAACTACAAAAATCAACATGTATATGGAGAAAAATTATTTAAATTATAAAAGATATTGTATAGCCAATTCTACTTAGCTTTTTAACAAACCTGTTTTCTCTACTTCTTGGGCACTTAGCTAAACCATATTTCCTAGTCTTGCAGTTTGGGACAGCCATGTGATTGTATGACTGAGTACTAGTCAGTGGAAGATAAGTGGAAATGATGTCTACTGTTTCCAGGCCCATCCCCTTTAACCTCCTACCTCACCTGTATCTTCCATCATCTTTACCCATACCACCTTTTGACAGATAAGCCAAGTGACCTTGAAAGGTTGTGCTCAAAAGGGCAGAGTCAATAGATGGGAGAAATCTGAACTCCCCCTTTGAGGAGAGCCACCTGCTGATCCAGAATACCTGTTTTAGACTTTAAATTGTTAAGAAATAAACTTCCATTATATTTGATTCATTATATAATTTTTATTTTTTAAAATAGCTAGTATTACCTTAACTAATATAGCTTATGATTATATCACTAATATGTGATCATTGATATTCATGATTCATTTTATTTTTCCACTAATTTTAAGTTTTTAATATCCCTAGAACTCAGTACAAATGCATTAACTTCAAATTATAAAATATTTTAATATTCATAAGTAGTCTACATCTTCAGTAAAACTATTTTTTGAAATTTATTTCTTTGCTTAATCCCAGATTCTAAACTTTCTTTAACATTTAATTAACATAATTAAACTTATTCATGGCTTTAGTAATCAATTAGATCTTTCTTTAAAAAGATTTAATTGGCCAAAAGATTTAATTGTAATTCTTTTTTGAAATCAGGATAATGTAACCTCTTATTAAAATAAACAAAAAATAAATAAAAATCAGTATGATACATCAGTTTTGCCATATTCCTATAAAGCATCTCGAAAGTAACAAAATGCTTCAAGAAAACTACCATAAAATAACATTAAAATATTTAAAAGAAGAATGGTCCCGCCAGCATAGCTCTTATTCAGTAAGAATGAATGTGCAGTCCTTCTGAAGAAACAGATGAAAACAAAAAAGAACTACCCCAGGCAAGACTGAACTAAAAATTTTTCTCAATTTCCAGTCAAACTGTGTTCACTTTTCTAACATCTACCCATCCACCCACCCATTCATTCTTCTTTTGTTCATTGATTCAAAAATTGCATATTGGTATTATGTGGCAGGCCCCATACCAGGATTCTGTGATATCACAAAGATGAAATATATAGATAATGCCCTCAAGGGGTTCACAGTCTAATATATTCAAGAACAAGAAACAATCAGAATTTATAACTACTTACTACAATTACAACCACCATAAGTACTATTACAGGACATTGGGACTCTATATTATAAAAGGCACTGGGAGAAAGCCTAATACAAATTGGAATGAAGGTTCAAAAATGAGCTAAGATTAGAAGTAATGTTTTGATGGAGGAGGAAAAGTAAAAATAATGAAATTGGTTTGGGGCAGAGGAGAGTGTGAGAACTCAGGTATAGTTATACATGCTGAAAGACTGGTGAAAGAGAGTTTGGTAAATTTATAGAATTATAAATAATGGGGAAAATGATGAGAGATGACAACACAGCCCTAAATAGGAGCAAGTTCATGACATGCCTTCATTTTCCCTATTCCATAATCAGATGATTGTTATTATCACACTTTTTCCTGTGCCTTTCACCTCATATTCAAACAGGACAGAATCACTTTTCATTTTCACTGATTAAAATATAGCTATTTCTTTTTTTAACACACTTTTATAAGAGAGCTACTATCTGTCAGGCAACATCCCAGACTCTCAGATATACTGTTCTTCCTAACTTTCTACAACACCTTATACTATCATTTACTGGACTGCTTGCTTGGTAATACACTTTACCACCCTGTATTTCAATTATTTGGTAATATATCTGTTTTACCTGCCAAACTCCAAGCTCCATAAAACATGGAAATGCCTCAGTCGTTTTTTTTGTCTGCCATAAAACAGTAGCTAGTACGTAATATAGGTATAACGAATGTTTACTGAGTGGATGAACTAAAGCAATGAAGAAAAATGGATTAGCTTTAAAATAAGAGACTATCATTTTAGTTTTCTCATTACGCAATAAGATTTTTTAAATATACAAAATATCATAATGTGTATTTTATGTTTATATTTTTATGTTTTGTAGGATATTGATACTATTTATTGGTAAGTAATAATATTTTATTATTGCAGTACCCCTTCACAATATACCCTTATATATACAACTTATAATTCTGATAGTTTCTGAAAACACATTACTATTGGAATGCTGCTAAAAATATGACTAGAATTCATTTTTTCATCCATATAAAAATGTTTATTGAGTAGTTACTATTTGTAGGACACTATGTGAATTGCTTAGCTTTTATATTTCATTGCCATTAAATACAATAATGTAAGAGGTAAAATATGTCAAATTAACTTCCCTTTGTACTTAGTCATAGTCATACCCTGAGGCAAAGGAACAATGTCATTCAACCTCCTTTCATAAATAATATACTTTGAAACAATGACTGATTCATTGTTAAACTGCATGATTATATAGTATAAAGATTATAAATTCAGTTGAAGTTCAGGTGTTTTTTATTATGAGATACTGTACTTTTAAATTCTGGAATTTCCAATTAATGTTTTTAATAGATCTCATTTCTCTTCTGAGAGTCTCCATCTGTTCAAAGAAAAAGAAAAAGTCTGAGCTGGAGTAAGTAAGGAGGTTTCTATATAAAGAAAGACTTGAACTACACCTCATAAGATGAACAAGATTTAAACAAACAGCAAAGATGAGAGAATGAAACAATGAGCAAACACACCATGCAAGAAATGCCTATGATATTTTTAGACAAATAACAAAGGAATAAGCTATACTGGTGGCAGGAAGGAGAACAGAAAGAAATATCATTGGATAAGGAGGGGTAGTAACAGAATCGGAAGATCTTGACATTCTTGAACTCCAAGAAGAGGAAGGGGCCACGATAATTTAGTTAAAATAAGGCTCAATATTGTATCACTGCTCTGTATACTTCAATGTGTTTTTGTAGTGGCTGGTAACAGTCTTTCCTTTTCATATTTAGTGCTTCCTTCAGAAGCTCTTGTAAGGCAGGTCTGGTGGTAACAAACTCCCTCAGCATTTGCTTGTCTGAAAAGGATCTTATTTCTCTTTTGCCTATGAGGACAGAGTCAAATCTACACATATCAATACCAGCCTTAAATGTAAATAAGCTAAATACCACAATTAAAAGACACAAAGTAGGGTGGGCACGGTGGCTCACACCTGTAATACTAGCACTTTGGGAGGCCAAGGTGGGTGGATCACCTGAGGTCAGGAGTTCGAGATCAACCTGGCCAACATAGTGAAACCCCATCTCTTCTAAAAATACAAAAAATCAGCCGGGCATGGTGCTGGGCACCTGTAATCCCAGCAACTCAGGAGGTTGAGGCAGGAGAATTGATTGAACCCAGGAGGCAGAGGTTACAGTGAGCCAAGATCACACCATTGCACTCCAGCCTGGGCAACAAGAGCAAAACTCCATCTCAAAAATAAAATAAAATAAAATAAAAGACACAAAGTGGCAAGCTAGATAAAGAACCAAGATCCATTGGTATGCTGTTTGCAAGAGACTCATCTCACATGTAATGACACACATAGGCTCAAAATAAAGGGACAGAGAAAAATCTACCATGCTAATGGAAAACAAACCAAAAAAAGCAAGGGTTGCTATTCTTATTTCAGACAAAACAGACTTTAAACTAACAAAGATCAAAAAAGACAAAAGAGGGCATTACATAATCATAAAGGGTTCAATTAAGAAGATCTAACTATCCTAAATATATATGCACCCAACACAGGAGGAAGCAGATTCTTAAATCAAGTTCTTAGAGACTTTCAAAAAGACTTAGACTTCCAGAGAATAACAGTGGGAAACTTTAATACTCCACTGACAATATGAGAAAGATCACTGAGACAGTAAATTAACAAAGGTATTCAGGACCTGAACTCAGCAATGGATCACATGAACCCAGCAGATATTTACAGAACTCTCCCCCAGAATATACATTCTTCTCATTGCCACATGGCACATACTCTAAAATTGATCACATAATTTAAAGTAAAACACACCTTGGCAAATGCAAAAGAACTGAAAATCATAACAAACAGTCTCTCAGACCACAGTGCAATTAAATTGGAAATCAAGACTAAGAAATTCACTCAAAGCCATACAACTACATGCAAACTGAATAACCTGCTCCTGAATGACTTTTGTGTAAATAATGAAATTAAGGCAGCAATCAATAAGTTATTTGGAATTAATGAGAACAAAGATACAACATACCAGAATCTCTGGGACACAGCTCAGGCACTGTTAAGAAGGAAATTTATAGCACTAAATGCCCACGTCAAAAAGTTAGAAAGAGCTCAAGTTAACAACCTAACATCACAACTAAAAGAACTATACAACCAAGAGCAAACAAATCCCAAAGCTAGTAGAGTACAAAACATAACCAAAATCAGAGCTGAATTTAAGGAGATTGAGACACGACAAAAAAAATCCAAAAGATTAACAAATCCAGGAGCTGCTTTTTAAAAAAAAAAATTAATAACATAGAACAAATAGCTAAGCTAATAAAGAAGAAAAGAGGGAAGATTCAAATAAACACAATCAGAAATAACAATGGGGATATTACCCCGACCCCATAGAAATGCAAACAACCATCAAAGAATATTATGAACACCTCTATGCACATAAACTAGAAAATCTAGAAGAAATGAATAAATTCCTGGACACATATACCCTCCCAAGACTGAACCAGGAAGAAATTGATTCTCTGAGCAAACCAAACCTCTGAAATTGAAGCAATAATAAACAGCCTACCAACCAGAAAAAGCCCAGGACCAGAAAGATTCACGACTAAATTCTACCAGATGTACAAAGAAGAACCAGTACCATTCCTACTGAAACTATTCCAAAAAATTGAAAAGGAGGGACTCCTCCCTAACTCATTCTATGAGGCCAACATCATCCTGATACCAAAACCTGGCAAAGATACCACAAAAAAAGAAAAATTCACACCAATATCCTTCAGGAAAATGGATGCAAAAATCCTCAAAAAAAAAAAAAAAAAAACTGACAAGCTGAATCTGGCAGCAAATGAAAAACCCTATCCACCATAATCAAGCAGGCTCTATCCCTGAGATCCAAGGCTGGTTCAACATACACAAGTCAATAAATGTGATTCATCACATTAACAGAACTAAAGACAAAAATCACATAATTATCACAATAGATGCAGAAAAGGCTTTTGATAAAATTCAACATCCATTCATGTTAAAAACTCTCAATAAACAGACTTTAAACCAACAAAGATCAAAGAAGGGCATTACATAATGGTAAAGGGATCATACCTCAAAATAATAAGGACATACCTTATAATGTCCTTATTTTGAGGACATACCTCAAAATAATAAGAGCCATATATGACAAACCCACAGCCAACATCATACTGAACGAGCAAAAGCTGGGGGTGTTCCCACTGAAAACTGGAACAAGACAAGGAAGCCCTCTCTCACCACTTCTATTCAACATAGTACTGAAAGTCCTGGCCAGGGCAACCAGGCAAGAGAAGGAAATAAAGAGCATTTGAATAGGAAGAGAGGAAGTAAAACCATCCCTGTTTGCAGATGACATGATCCATATCTAGAAAACCACATAGTCTTAGCCCAAAAGCTTCTTAAGCTGATAAACAACTTCAGCAAAGTCTCAAGATACAAAACCAATGTGCAAAAATAACTAGCATTCCTACAACAGGCAAGTGGAGAGTCAAATCAGGAACATACTCCCATTCACAATAGCCACAAAAAGAATAAAATTCCTAGGAATACAGCTAACTAGGGAGGTAAAAGATTTCTACAAGAACTACAAAACACTGCACAAAGAAATCAGAGATGACACAAACAAAAATAAATTCCATGCTAATGGATAGGAAGAATCAATATCGTGAAAATGGTCACACTGCCCAAATCAATTTAGATTCAATACTATTCCTATTAAACTAACATTGAGACTCTTCAAGAACTAGAAAAAAACTACTTTAAAATGAATATGGAACCAAAAAAGAACCAAAATATCCAAGGCAATTCTAAGCAAAAAGAACAAAGCTGGAGGCATCATGCTACCCAATTTCAAACTATACTATGGGGCTACAGCAACCAAAACAGCATAGTACTGGTACAGAAACAGATACACAGACCAATGGAACAGTATAGAGAATTCAGAAATAAGACCACACACCAGAAATAAGACCACACACCTACAACTATGTGATCTTTGACAAACCTGACAAAAAACAAGCAATGGGGAAAGGATTCCCTATTCAATAAATGGTGCTTGAATAACTGGCTAGCAATATGCAGAAAACTGAAACTGTACCCCTTCCTCATACCATATACAAAAATTAACTCAAGATGGATTAAAGACTTAAATGTAATACCCAAAACTATAAAAAAAATCCTGGAAGACAACCTAAGTAATACCATTCAGGACACAGGAATGGGCAAAGATTTCATGACAAAGATGCCAAAAGCAACTACAACAAAAGCAAAAATTGACAAATGGGATCTAATTAAACTAAAGACTTCTGCACAGCCAAAGAAACTATCAACAGAGTAAACAGAAAACCTACATATTGGGAGAAAATTTTTGGAAACTATGCATCCAACAAAGGTCTAATAGCCAGCATCTTTAAGGAACTTAAACAAATTTACAAGAAAAAAACGACCACATAAAAAAGTGGGCAAAGAACATTAACAGGCACTTCAAAAGAAGACATACATGCAGCCAACAAGCATATGAAAAAAATGTGCAACATCACTGATCATTAGAGAAACACAAACCAAAACCACAATGAGATGCCATCTCACCCAAATGGCTATTAAAATGTAAAAAACATAACAGACGCTGGCAAGGTTATGGAAAAAAAAGCAATGTTTATACACTGTTGGTGGGAGTGTAAATTAGTTCAACCATTATAGAAGACAGTACGGTGATTCCTCAAAGATCTAAAGACAGAAATACCATTCAACACAGCAATCCCATTACTGGGTATATACCCAATGGAATAAAAATCATTCTATTATAAAGACGAATGCACACATATGTTCATTACAGCACTATTCACAATAGCAAAGAGATGGAATCAACCTAAATGCCTATCAGTGATGGACTGAATAAAGAATATGTGGTGCATATATATATACTGGAATACTATGCCACCATAAAAAAGAATGAGATCATGCCCTTTCCAGGAACATGGATGAATCTGAGGCCATTATCTTTAGCAAGCTAATGCAGGAACAGAAAACCAAATACCACATATTCTCACTTGTAAGTGGGAGCTAAGTGATGAGAACACACAGACAAATAGAGAACAGCACACACTGGGGTCTACTGAAGGGTTGTGGGTGGGAGAAGGGAGAGTATTGGGAAAAACAACCAATGGGTACTAGACTAATAGCTGAGTTATGAAATAATCTATACAACAAACCCCCATGGCACAAGTTTATCTATGTAACAAACCTGCACATGTAACCCTGAACTTAAAATAGACGTAAAAAAAGTAAGGCTCTCATTGATTTTTGACCGTGAAGTCATGAAATACAAACTCCATTTCAGAAAGTCTCATCTGGCAGTATAATATAGGTGTGGGTTAGAATTAAGAGAGACTGATTGCAAAGAAAGGAACAAAAACATTGGTTTGACACCTTCTGTGTGTCCAACACACTGCTAAATACTTTTTACACAAAGTATACTTCAATAGGAAACAGTGAGAGACTAAGACAAAATGGGAAGGTTAGCTATAATTATGGGGTAACCTTTCAGTGATACAGAGAAAAATACATATAAATGATTCAACAAATAAAATAGAAATGACAGGCTACCATTCGTTTAGTGTGTAATCTGTGGTGAGCACTGTGTTAGGTACTCCATACTTATCACCTCTATCCTCACAACAATCCTGCAAGGTACTATTATTCTTATTGCTACCATTTTTCATATTAAAAAAATCTAAACATCAGGGAAATATTTACCAGGGAAATAATACCTGCAAGATACTATTACTATTACTATTGTTACCATTTTTCAGATGAGAAATCTAAAGATCAGTGAAATATCTACCTATGGAGTAGAACTGGAATTCAAACACAAGTCTTTTGAACTCAAATTCCTGTTCTCTACCCTATAATGTCACATACAATACAAAAATATGTTATTGAAGAAATTAGTGTAATTCTTTAATGCAAGGACTCTTTAATGTAAGTTAGTGAGGATGATAATTACTATGACAGTAAAAACACT
Source organism: Homo sapiens (assembly GCF_000001405.40). Taxonomy (NCBI): domain Eukaryota; kingdom Metazoa; phylum Chordata; class Mammalia; order Primates; family Hominidae; genus Homo; species Homo sapiens. The sequence continues at coordinate 99,758,842 of NC_000012.12, forward strand.
TTAATGTTTGAGAAAGGGGCACCAGGCTAGGTAAAACTAGGATTAGAGATTCAAGGGCAAAAGGAAATCTTTCAAAGCTGGAATGGATTTATTTCAGTAACAAAGAATAGATTATAGGAAAAGATATAACATGTCAATTTTTGTCTCATTTATTCTGAGGGCAGGCAATTTTCACTTTAATGATCCCGCTTCTCACTAGTTCATTTTCTTTGTTCATTTTAAAGTCTTTATTTCCTGTCGGATTTATTCCCTTGACTAAGCATTCTTTCTCCAAATTAAGACTTTGCTTCTCATTATTAATGATTTGATAGCACAGACTGGCAGCTATCACCTAAATGGAACTGTTAGGAAACTGTAAACAAACACAACTTTTCAGCTTTAAAAAGCATAGATGGCAGATGCAAGAATTCTGGCAAAGCCATGTGAAAATAACATCAGTTTTAAAAATCTAAGCCTGAGATTGAAGCAGGCCACACTGTATCTTTTACTTACGATTATTGATTCTGATTCTATCATAGAGAATCCCAATTCTTCAGCTGTTAGAGGCTGAATGAATTCCAATATTCTTTAGTTGTGGCCCAAATGGTCTCCTGATAAAATATGTTGAAGCATGAGCAATTTCAGCAATTTTTTCTGGGTTACTAGTCTACTATTCCATCAGAATTAATTTGCTCTTCAAGGTGAAAAGCATTTCCTCGGACACAGAGTTAAGTGATTATTGCAACTGCCATGTCTCTTTAAGCTCAGGCTCTCGCCTGATTTCCTTTGGCATTAGGCAGCAAAATGGATTTTTTTAAATACTGGCAAGCTGTCCAAGGTCTTCACTCAAAAAGAGAGCCAAGAACTCCCAAATGTAAACCTTGAAATAGAATTACAAATTAGGTACACTATGACAAATGAACAAGGTAAATGTGAAAAGTGACTAAAAGTTAACTTCATCATTATCCAGAATGTGAGGTTAAAAGAAAGGTGAATTATTACTACATTTTCAGGAAAACATTACAATTAGCTCATAAGTGTAAAGTACAGATTCTCAGGAAAATTCTAACAGCTGAGTTCTTCTACTAGAAAGTTTAATTCAAGTTAGAGATTATAAAGAGATTAGAAAGAACAAAAGTATCAAAACAAAAACTGGCCAATAATATATCTGAAGAGTATATAAAAATGGTAACCTCACAAATGTCATAAAGTTCAAAACATAAAAATTAAAATATTTTAGAAAGGAAGTTTACTGCCCTTAATAGAATGCTCATAATATAGATGCATATTTTAACATCAAACACATTTTAAGCACATGCACAATGAAATACTGTGCATCAGTGAAGTCCATAAAAATGTGCAAGAATCATTAACAATTAGAAAAAAACAGGATGTCATCAACCACCAAATATACATTCTTATCACCTGCACAGGGAACATACTCAAAGATTGATGACATGCTCAGCCATAAAGCGAGTCTCAATAAATTCAAAAAAATCAAAACCATACCAACCATATTTTTGGACCACAGTGGAATAAAAATAGAAATCAATGCCATAAACATATCTCAAAACCATCCCTCAAATCTTTTCAATTTCATGAAAACTAAACAACTTGCTACTGAATGAGTTTTGGGTACGCAATGAAATTAAGGCAGATATCAAAAAAATCTTTGAAATAAACTAAAACAGACGTAACATACCAAAATCTCTGAGATGCAGCAGAAGCAATGTTAAGAGGAAAGTCTATAGTGCTAAATGCCTACCTCAAAAAATTTTTAAAGATCTCAAATTAATAATCTAACATCACACCCAGAGGAACTAGAAAAACAAGAACAAATCAGAAGAAAAGAAATAAATAAAATAAAATAAAATCAGTGCAGAAGTGAATGAAATTAAGACCCAAAAATTCATACAAAAAAATCTATAAAACCAAAAGTTGGCATGAAAGGATAAATAAGATCAATAGGCTGGCAGCTACATTAACAAAGAAAGAAGAGACAATATCCAAATAAGCACAATCAGAAATGGCAAAGGTGACATTAAAACCAATCCCACCGAAATACAAAAAAAACCCTCAGAGACTATGATGAACACCATATATATACAAACTAGAAAATCTAGAGGAAGTAGATAAATTCCTGGAAATACACCATATCCCAGGGTTAAATCAGGAAGACATTGAAACCCTGAATAGACCAATAATGAATTCCGAAATGGAATCAGTAATAAAAAGCCTAACAACCAAAAAAAAAAAAAAAAAACCCTGGACCAGAAGGATTTACAGCTGAATTCTACCAGACATACAAAGAAGAGCTGGTATTAATTCTGCTGAAACTATTCCAAAAAATTGAGGAGAATGAACTCCTCCCTAACTCATGAAGCCGCCATCATCCTAATATCAAAACCTGGCAAAGACACACACACACACACACAAAAGAAAACTACAGGCCAATATACCTGATGAACAGAGAAGCAAATATCCTCAGCAAACAAACTAAAAGCAGTAGTGCATCAAAAACTTACGACGATGAAGGAGGCTTTCTCCCTGGGATACAGGGTTGATTAAACATATACAAACCAATAAATGGGATTTACCACATAAGCAGATTTAAAAGCAAAATCAATATGATCATCTCAATAGATGCAATAAAGATACCTTCAATAAAATCCAACATCCCTTCATGATAAAAACCTTCAACAAATTAGGCATCAAAGAAACACAACTCAAAATAATAAAAGCCATCTATGACAAACTCACAGCCAACATTATAATAAATGGGCAAAAACTAGAAGCATTTTCCTTAAGGACTAGAACAAGACAAGTATGGCTACTCTCACCACTCATATATAACATAGTACTGAAAGTCCTAGCTGGAGCCATCATGCAAGAGGAATAAATAAAAGGCATCCAAATGGAAAACAAAAATTCAAACTATCTGTCTTCACTAATGATACGATTCTATGCCTAGAAAACCCTAAACTCCAACAAAAAGCTGTTGAAACTTATAAATGACTTCAGCACATTTTCAGAACATAAAATCTATATATGAAGATCATTATAATTTCTATACATCAATAACATTCAATCTGAGAACCACAGTAAGAATGCAATCCCATTTACAATAAACACACAAAAAACGAAATACCAAGGAATACAGCTAACCAGGGAGGTGAAAGATCTCTACAATGAGAACTACAAAACCCACTGTTCAAAGAAATCAGAGATGATACAAAGAAATGGAAAAACATGCCATGTTCATGGGCTGGAAGAATCAATATCAATAAAATGTCCACACTACCCAAAGCAATCTACAGATTGAATGTATTCTTATTAAAGTACCAATATCATTTTTCACACAATTAGAAAAAAACTATTCTAAAATTCACATGGAATCAAAAACAAGCTCGAATAGCCAAAGTAATCCTAAAAGAATGAAGCCAGAGGCATCACATTTCCCAACTTCCAACTATACTATACAGCTACAATAACAAATACTTCATGGTACTGGTACAAAAACAGAAACATAGAACAAAGGAACAGAATAGAGAACTCAGAAATAAAGCCACACAACTACAACCATCTAATCTTCCACAAAAATAAACAATGGGGAAAGGACAAGCTATTCAATAAATAGTGCTGGGATACCTGGCTAGCCATACGCAGAATGAAACTGGACCCTTACCTTTCATCATACACAACAATTAAGAAAAGATAGATTAAAGATTTAGATGTAAGACCTCAAACTCTAAGAATCTTAGAATGAAACCTAGAAAACACCATTCTGGACATAGGTCTGGGCAAAGATTTCATGATAAAGACTTCAAGAGCAATTGCAACAAAAACAAAAATTGACTTAAAACCTTCTGCACAGAAAAAGAAACTATAAACACAGTAAACAGACAACTTACAGAATGGTAGAAAATATTCACAATCCATGCATCTGACAAAGGTCTAATATCCAGAATCTATAAGGAACTTAAAAAGTCAACAAGCAAAAAACAACCCCATTAAAAAATGGGTAAAGGACATGAAAAGAAGATATACATGCAGTTAATAAGTATGTGAAAAAAATCCTCAACATTACTAATCATTAGAGAAGTGCAAATCAAAACCATTGAATGCAATCTCACACCTGTCACAATGACTATTATTAAAAAGTTAAAAAAAAAACAGATGTTGGTGAGGTTGTGTAGAAAAGGGATCGCTTAAACACTATTTGTGGGAATGTCAGTTAATTCAGCTACTATAGAAATAGTTTGGAGACTTCTCAATGAACTTAAAACAGAACTACCATTTGACCCAGCAATCCCATTACTGGGTGTATGACCACAGGAACACAAATCATTCTACCATTAAGACACATCCACGTATGCTCATTGCAGCACTTTTCACAACAGCAAAGACATGGAATCAATCTAGATATCCATCAACGGTGGACTAGATAAAGAAAACGTGGCACATATACACCATGGGATACTATGCAGCCATAAAAAAGAATAAAACTGTGTCCTTTGCAGCAACATGGATGCAGGTGGAGGCCATTATCCTAAGCAAATTAACACAGGAACAGATAACCAAATACCACTTGTTCTTACTCGTAAGTGTGAGTTAAACACTGAATACACATGGAAACACACATGGACACAAAGAGGGGAACTACAGACAATGGGGCTTACTTGCGGGTGTAGCACGGGAGGAGAGTAAGGATCAAAAAGCTACATATTGGGTACTATGCTCATTACCTGGGAGAATAAATCATTTGTACACCAAATCCCAGTGACACACAGTTTACCCATGTAACAAACCTGCATATGTACCTCACTGAACCTAAAATAAAAGCTGGAAAAAAAAAAACAAAATAGCCCCATCTCAATAATACAGAAAGAATAACAAGGATTAATTCAAAAATGTTTATCACATAAATATTTAGGAATTCAAAAATTAATAATGTAATCAGACATATTTCCTATATTCATATACTATATACTTCCTTCGTATATGTTATCAGGAATTAAACATGGTATTTGTAATACAGGATATCCTTCTCATCAGTGAGAGTGATGTACTATTACCTAAGAAAAATATAATTTGACTTAAGATCCTAGCGATATATTGTGAAGTCAATAATATAGTTTACAGGGGTATTTTATTTCATCCTCAAAGAAACTGGCGAGGTATTCATTATTTGAAAAATCACCCAACAGGGGAAGTTCTTCTCAGATCATAAATATTCCATGTTAGAATTTTTCTCATATGCCTACACCGAAATACAGGTTATCAAACAGATGTTTTTATGCCCATGACCTGTTCTATCAATTCAATAAATGTTTGCTAAGCATGTGAGTGAGGAACTATGCTAAGGACAAATACATGCACACACACAGATTAATATTTTCCCTGTCTTCAAGGAGCTTATAGGCAAAGTCAAAAAAGATGATTCATGCATAATTAATACAAAGCAGCATAATGATGCAAATAGTTAGATCTAAATAGAAGGATCAAAAATAGTTTTCAATAAGTAGAGATGGTAGGGATAATATATATAGACAAAACATGAACGTGGACAATAAGAAAGACAGACGTGTTTGAGAGTAATCCATTTTATTTATTTATTTAGAGACAGAGTTTCACTCTTGTCATCCAGGCTGGAGTGCAGTGGAGCTATCTTGGCTCACTGCAACCTCCACCTCCCGGGTTCAAGTGATTCTCCTGCCTCAGCCTCCTGAGTAGCTGGGATGACAGGTGCACACCACCAGGCCCAGCTAGTTTTTGTATTTTTAGTAAAGATGGAGTTTCACCATGTTGGCCAGGCTGGTCTCTAACTCCCGACCTCAGGTGATCCTCCAGTCTCAGCCTCCCAAAGTGCTGAGATTACAGGCATGCACCACCGTGCCTGGCCAAGAATAATCCATTTTACTAAAATATATTTATCTAAGACATTACTAGCAGATAAAGCTGGAAAAATATGATGAAGCTAGAAATGAAGGGTCTTGAATGCCTGAGTTAAACGTTTCTATTTAACATTTGCAGTGAGGACCAGGGCTAGTTTTGAGTAGGAAAATGACATGACCAGAATGGCACTTAAGGCATACTGACTTGGCAGCATTGCTCAGAATAAATATGAGCAGATGAAGAGGAGAGACTAGAAGTGGGTGGACAGGGTAGGAGGCTCTTGAAATAACTCAGGTGAGGGGAAATGATGGTCTGAACCCACAAACTGGCAGGAATGATGAAAAGGTGAGAGGTCAATCTGGAAGACAGTAATGAAAGACAGAATGATCTACTTGTAAGACATTGGACATACATTCAGATCCAAGATTTACCTTTTGGGCAACTGACTTTACTCCTGATTCCCACGTTGAGGATAATAAAACCTACCTCATGGGATTGTTGTCAGGAATAAAGGAGATAATGATTTTTAACATGTTTACACAATGCCTAGCATGTAGTGAAAATTTAGTACTTAATAAATGCTAGCTTCTAGTGTTACAATTATTTTGAGATATTATAGTTTGGTCACTGTTTACTGATTTTTTTAGTAGCTACATCTCACTGCTGGTTCACGTAGCAGTTGTAGTCATCTATATACCCTAAAACTTTTGTGTGAACTACTCTCTGACATTAAATCTCCCCCACCTTGTATTTATACCATTGATTTTTAAGGAATCTAAATATAAGATTTTATACTAACTCCCACTGAATTCTATGTTTTTACCTTGAGCCAAGATTTCAGCCTATTGAGATAATTTTTCATATAAGTTCAATTATTTGTCATATTTGCTATTCCTCCCTAACTTCTACAAAGCTGATTAGAATACATATGGCTTTTTCCAAGTAAAATATTGACTCAGACCAATCCAAGAACAAAATATTTCACTTTCACTAGAGAAATCCCCTCTACGTTGACATTTTGTGACTATTTAGAACGTCTGGACAAAATTGGACAAAGTCTGTGAAACATAAAAATCAAGATCTCTTCAGCAACATAAAAGAGAACAAAATAGCTCTTTTCTATGGCTGACAGAAAGCCAGAGTAAAATTTTTTTAACCGATGCAGAAACTAAGGCTTGGAAATATCAAGCAACTTCCAAAGGTCACCCTGCTAGTAAATTGCAGAACAGAGTTGTACAACCAAATCTGTAGGACTCACAATCTCATGCTCTTAACTGCTAGACTAAGTTATCTCCCTAAGAAAGATGGTTGAGATTCCCATCATGATTGCTGGGAAAAACCTCCACTTTGGTCTCTGGAATTCATCTCCAAATAATTAAATGCATTTTGCAATGATAATGGTTCATTTGCAAGAACATATACACTTTTATATGCAGTCTTTGCCTTTTTATGCATTTATTCAGTCAATGAACTTTCACTGAGAGACCACTACATTCAAGGCACCGTGTGAGGCAGGATGTGACTACAGAGATCAATCTAATAATGAACCTACTGTCAAAGGGGTATATAAGAAGTAATGCAAAACATATACACCTACAAGGCAAGGCAGAAAGAGATGTATCAAGAATGGTAAAAAGCAAGTGTGCTAGAAGTTCAGAAAAATGACTCTTTTATTCTACTAGCCATTTTCTCAAGGACTTCCTAGATTCCCTAAGGTTACAAAAAGTTCTTCCTGAGGTGAGGGTAGGAACAAAAACTTACCCTTCTGATTCTGGATTTTTCCATTAATGTACCTACAGTACATACGTGTGGTTAATGGTATTGTTTTCAATATATAAATGCAGGTCAACATGATCCTAGTTCTACATTCCCTAATTCTTGCAAAACCTGTTAGGAGATTTCCAACCTTAGTTGAATCACCTTGAGTCACCACATCCAAAAGGTCTGTTCAACTACATAAGAAATAGATTGTTCAGGTTAGAATGTTCTTTTGAACATTGTATACCACTGCTTAAGATTTAGCACCACTATAAAAAATTATACATGCTAAAGAATCAGTTATGTTCCTATAATAAGCCTCTATTTACATTTCAAAAAATTTGCCTCCCAAGATTCTCTAAATCTGATGGAAATTGGGTAAGATAGCCACGAAGCTCTCTCCAAATTCTGAAATTGATGCATTCCTGATAATAAGCTCTAGAAATTGGGTTAGAATGTGTTTGAAGGTAAACTTTGTTTCAGAAACACCATTTGGTTTTTAGGCAATCTAATCTGACTCTACTGATCTTTAAAACTTGATGAATTTTAGAACTAAATTAAGTATATTTTCCAAAAGTAGGGACCTCACTCCCAGAGAGTATTCTCAAGAATAGCTTGGCATTAAAAAAAACTGAAAATCCTTCAAGGTAAATCTTGAAATCTTAAAATACTAAAATAAAATACCTCACACTTCAGAAGGCTGACATGTAATTAAATATTTTGCATTGGAAAAGAAAGTAAAATAACAGAAAAGAGGCATAGTTGCTGAACAAAATTGCACAAAACCTGCCAATGCAACCCCTTTCAAACCAAAAGCTTTAGATGCTGCTTGTGTCAAGAGAAAAAAATACATAACACGTTTCATCCCTTAAGCTTCTTATTTACTTCTTAAAGACATACGCTGATGAGGTAATGTTCTATTACAAATGTTTAAAAAAAAAACAAAAAAACTTTTCCTGGTACCTGGATTCTGAAATCTGCTCTAATGATCTTTATCATCAAATTTCTCTATGGCATGCTGTGTTCACATTTAAGAATTGTATAGATTGTTTATACACATGGAGGAAAAAACATGAATATAAGGCTTGGGAAAACATAAAGAGAATAGAAAATTTTTTCAGATGATTTCACATTCTTTCGAAAACCTAAATTTCATGAGTTGGTAAAGAATGTTAGGATATTTATATTTCTTCAAAATTTACATTCTAGATTATATAATGTCCTAATTCAACTTAGAAAATGGTTTCAGATGCATATTATAAGAGTATATAAAACAGACTGACTTTTGAATTAAAATGTATGCAAGACAAAATGCAATTTTAACTTGAGCTAGCCTTTATATTACATGCAAAACCTCCAATTGAATACATTCAATCATAATAAGAATTTAATTTTTAACTTATATTAGTAAAAGTGTTCAAACTACCATATTATAGCTAATATTTTAATAGAAACAAAAATCTCCGATTCAAAAATAAAAGTTCTTACATAAGATGGCTGGTTTTGTATTTGAAATTACTGAATCAGAGTGCCCTCTATTGGAAGAAAAGAGACAACAAAAGCTAAACTGAACTAAGAATATAGGTAAAATACTTCCAAAACTCAAGCCACATCATTAATATGTAAAACACATTAATTAAAAATATGGATGCTACAAAACATATTTCCTTACATTTTTATTTCTCCAAAATAACTTTTGGAATTACTTGTCATATCACAATCAGCAAGTTGGATGTTTCATATCCTATGAAATTAAATTTTAACTGAACCCAAATGCTCATCATTTAACCAGTAATATAAATAACAGACATACAGAAATGTTTTCCACATTTAATAGTCCAATATAACATAGAAATGTTATAATTGAGGACTGTGGTTTGACTGCAGTTTGGATTTTCCTTGATGATAAACTGAAAGCCTCCTTGCTATGAACCTCATGTCGGTGTCCCCGCCAAGTTTATATGTTGAAATCCTAAACCCCAATGTGATGGTATTAAGGAGGGGGTGTTGGGAGGTCATCAGATGATAACCCCTTATGATGTGCTAGTGTTCATATAAGAAAACATCAGGAGGGCTGGGCGCAGTGGCTCACACCTGTAATCCCAGCACTTTGGGAAGCCGAGGCAGGCAGATCACAAGGTCGGGAGATCGAGACCATCGTGGCCAACATGGTGAAACCCCGTGTCTACTAAAATACAAAAAATTAGCCAGGTGTGGTGGCACGTGCCTGTAGTCCCAGCTACTCAGGAGGCTGAGGCAGGGGAATCGCTTGAACCCCGGAGGCGGAGGTTGCAGTGAGCCGAGATTGTACCACTGCACTCCAGCCTGCGACAGAGCACGACTCCGTCTCAGAAAAAAAAAAAAAAAAAAAAAAACACATCAGGAGAACCTGCTTTTTTCCCCTCTGTTCTTTGCCACATGAAGATACAACCAGAAGACAGCCCTCTGCAAACCAGGAAGCAGGCCTTCACCAGCTACCAGCTCTGCTGGTACCTTCATCTTGGGCTTCTCGGACTCCAGAACTGTGAGAAATAAATGCTTTTTTTTTTTTCCAAGCCACCCAATCTACGCTAATTTGTTATAGCACAGATAATCCCTAATTCAAGAGACTTTTAGAAGCTCTTACACTGGGGAATTGCAGAAGTAGGCTGGACATTAAGATTTACGAGATTTGTTCCATCTCAAAAAATTCTAGTTTTGTGGTGTTTTCAAGACCTCAGTTCTGACTCATCATCTCAGACCTGAATTACCTCAGAAAGATCTTGGCTGATTTTTGGCTCCCTAGACCAGTAGTATGGATGTTAGACCTGAGAAGCTTTTCCAAGAGCAATGCTCAGAGCTACCCAAAATTATTTTGATTTAGTTGGTCTGGACTGGTATCTGAGGGCATCAGTATTTATTTTTTAGAGCCTCTCTAGGTAAATCTAATATACAACTATGGCTGAGAACCATTGTTTGAGCCTCTCCCCAGATCAAGCAACATACAACTACCACTTTTATTTTCCAAAAATGTCACTTTCAGGAGAACTCTCCTACACAAGAATTTATTCTCAGGATCAATTTTAAACTTCTGGCTAGCCTCCCAATCTACTTAGCTGCCTTTGTTCTCTGACAATAGAGTTGAGTGGCAAGGGGTTATGGCTCCAGCTCCAGAATGTCTGTGTTCTTGGCTCTGTAATTACCGCATGAAACTGGGAAAGTCATAAAAGCTCCCTGTATGGAGAAATAATACTATCCTTTTCAAAGGGTTATTGTGAGGATTAAATCAGTTAATACAAGTAAAGTGTTCCATAAATTGAGGTATTATCATTACTTACCCAACTTTATTTCCTACTACTTTCCAAAACAAACTCTCATCATAAATCATTCTCAAATTATGCACTAATTCTCATCTCTGTGCTTTTGCACTTACTGTTTCTTCAGGCTGGAATCCTTTCTCAATCATTTGTCCCAACAAAAGTGAAAAGCACAGCTCCCCTTTCACCAGGACACAGCTTAGTCTCTCCCTACCTCCACAAAGACTTCAATGAGTATCTGTAAATATTCACTGGTCTCTCCCTTTTAAAAATTCCTTTGGCCACAAGGTAGCATACTATGAGAAATGTGGCTGAGAATTAAAAACACTGGCTCAGAGTTTGAATCCTCACTCTGCCACTTGGCAGCTAAGTCATTTTCTAAATCCATATTGTTAGGATTACTTAATAAGCGACTTAAATCACGTAAAGCATTAGAGTAGCAAATAGCAAAAACTGAGTAAGTGTCAGTTCTTATTTATTCAGTGTTTTATATGTTAGCCTTCAGTTATAGTCTACACACTGTGACTGAAGTCTCCTTAGGATAGGTGTTTTGAAACACTTGAAATCAAGAACCATATCTATTATAAATCCCACAACTCAAAACATGGTAAGAACCATCTGTATTAGGTGACCTATATTAGGTGACCTGTACTTGACTAAACTTTTTGCAACATGTAAGAGTATAATTGAAGCAATATTCTGGAAAAAAAACTTTTTTGATGAATAGAAACAAATATTCAACAAAACATGGAATGAATTCAAATAAAACAGGCTACAGAAAAGGGTCAAAGTAATTTGATTACTTTTTAAACATTCGCTAACAGGTTTCTATCAGATTCATCTTCTGAAAGGTCAGTTCCAATGATGTCTTTTATCTGCCCAAAATCCTTTAGATTTTTCTCATTTCTTAAAAAAAAAACCAAAATTCTTAGCCTGACATTCATAATTATCCATGACCTGACCTCAAACTACACTTCTACTCTCTCATCTTTCCCCTTTGTAAACTCTATTCTTCCAAATAAACAGAATTATTTGCTCTTACTCATATATACCATCTGCTTTTCTCCCTCCACATAATCTTTAATATTTTATAGGGAAATATTTTCAAAGAACACTATTGTAAAGGTTTGTCACAGGAACGAAGAGTGGTGTTAGAAAAGCATGAGTTCAGATTTCAAAACCTTAACGCTCAATTTATGAGCATTAATTTCTTTCTTGCCACTATCACAATACAGTCTTTGGCTTACAAAAAAAATTGAACATCTTTTCCCCAAACTATTATCACTCTCTCAAAGTCAAAAGCCTTTGCCGTAACTTCCTGAAAGATAGAAGCTTGAATCATGGTCTCCAAGCAGCACATACAGACCCCAGGGCATATAAGATATTCATTGGGTAAACGAAAAATAATTAGAGCTTCTGTTTTACACTTATTCTCTACCTTCCTCAATTTGAATTTCTTTTGTTGTGTATGTCTCATAATTTACATCAAATATTACTAGAAATGCAGTCTATATATATATAATTTACAAATAATCAGGGATATTTGCTCAAAATTTGTTTACTAATGGTACGTACAACAAAAAAGTTTGGAAACCCTGGTCTAAAAAATTAGGGCTTTCAGAATATCTGTGGTTTTACAAGTAGAAGGCCAGAAGCTGCCAGTTTACATAAATCTTTGAGGATGGATCTAAAAATATAAACACTATGTGTTGTTTATATAGCACAAATATGTTTTAAGTTCTAACTAACTTTCAAGGAAATATTAAAATGTAACTGATTGGTAACCTGGAGACAGCATACACCTATTTCAGATTTTTTAACAGAGGATTTTGTCCCAACATTAAAGTTACTATTATAAATTATTTCATTAATATAAAAATTTCATTTGGTAAAACTTACAGGTATTTACTTCAGTACATATACAACTGTTCATAGTTATTCATAAAGAATTTTTATTGGGGCCAATAATAGGATGTTTTTACAAAAGAGAGTGAAGCACAAAAACAAAATGAAACAAAAAAAGCAGGCCAAGGAGGTAGGACTAGCCATGGAACTAGATTAGCAAGTGCTATCCCAGGAAACAGTGTCACAGCTTACTTTAAGTAACTAAATTAAGTAAATGTTCTCATAATGGACAGTCACTATACTTAGCAAGTTTTTTTTTAGTTTTCACAAATAATATGACATACTTAACACAGTTCACTCTATTACTGGCTTTTGAATAAAGTATGATATATCTGTAACAAATTAAGTTCTAAAAGTGACTACAGATTTCTTATCAGAATAATGTATTTCCTTTAATACCAGTATATACTATAAGTCCTTCCTCTACAGGACAAAAAGTAGGTTTAAATATCTTAATATTAAACTGATTTATTCTCTATAGTTTTTCTTGCTTTTGTGTTCATATAAAAATCCAAATGAGTGAGAATCACCCATGGCCTGACCTCAATCTATCCTTCTAATCTTATCTCCCCTCTTTCTTCTTTGTAAACTCTCATTCCTAATAAATAGAAATACTTGCTCTTACTCAACTATATCATCTGTTTTTCTGCCTCACATAACCTTTAATATTTTATATGGCAATATTTTCAAAGAACACTATCATAAAGGCGTTGTCACAGGAACTAACTCATGCTTAAGATTCTGAGCTTATCAAAGAGAAACCTCTTGGGATTTGCATAATATTATAAAAATATGCAGACTGAACTTTCCACATTTCTCTCCTACTATGACTTCAGGAGGAAGTGAGGAAACTATACGTGTGGCTCTGCTCTGTTAGTCTGAGTTCATAGAGAAAATGGGGAAGACAGTCGAAAGGAAGGTTTTTGTCTTTTTTTGGGAACCAACATCATTATGCCCAGTAAAACTAAAGGAACACAACAACAACAACAACAACAAATACCAAAAATCCATGTTTTTAAGAAAGAGTCTAAAAGTAGAGAGACCATGAAGTGATCTGTCAAAGCACTCCTTCCCCTACACATGCACTGCGAGTAAAACCCCAAAGAACGTCAGGAAAAGAGCAATAAGGAAACTGACATCTTAGAGTGGCGGAATCTGATAATGCACCACATCCCATACCTCTTAAGTGTACACACTGAACTGGCAAAGACAGACACATTATCTTCATTCCCCCCCGCCTTACTTACTACACTCTGGCTTCCATTTTTCCCAAGTTCTTCCTCTGAAATCTTGCTCAAATTATCTAAGTAGTGGTCTGATATTGTGTGGCACAAGTCTTCAAACGAATAATCCTTTTCTTGACAGAGTTTTATTTCATCCAAGAGTTTTGATAATTCTCCAGTGACGGTTTCACCTATGAGAATAATTTTTTCAGAAGTTTCAAGAAAGGCTATTGTTAAAACTTAATGTTAAGCAATAAAAATATGACTGCTATGGTGATAGAACTCAAAATATAACAAGATTAAGCAGTCAGACACTATTCTGCTGAAAACAAGGTACTCAACCATAATTAGTACAACAATATTAATGGGCAAAAGAGATTATAATTTTGCCTATTTTTATTCTTTTTCAAAATAGAAATAATTATTGTAAGGTTATGTATACATAGTACATAAAAGCATCTGGAATTACAATTCCCAAAGCTTCACTTATTATAGGATTTAATTTCCATAATATTTCATTGGTATTTTACTTCACTGACAGAATTCATTAGCAAATTTGAAACGGTGCTGAGAAACTTCTTCCTAGGTTCAATAAACAGAAATAGTACAAGTTATTTAAACAAATAATAACATAGGTAATCAGTACCTTAAGAATTATGGTATATGATATAAAGTAAAAACACAAAAGAAACAAACAATATGCATCATCTGTCAAACATGAAGATTTTGTAGATTACATGAAAATATGCACATTTCTAAACAGTCTCAGAAAGATACCTTATACCTGTAATTTATTCTGAAAAAAATGCCCAGCAGTTACAATCCAGATTTTAATATTTTTATTCTGACATAAAAACATATTTAACATCAGCTGACTATAGATGCATGGATTTATTTCTGGACTTTATTCTGTTTTATTGGTATATATGTCTGTTTTCATGCCTGTACCATACTGTTTTGATTACTGTAGCTCTTCACAAGGTTTCCAAGAACACAAAATGTGGAAAAGATAGTCTCTTCAATAAATAGTGTTGGGAAAGTGGATAGCCACATGCAAAAGCATGAAATATGACCCTTATCTCATCCCCTATGTAAAAATCAATGCAAACAGTATAAAGACTGGAACATTAAGACCTGAAAATATGAAACTCCTAAAAGAAAACATAGGGAAAAAACTTGATATTTGTTTGGACAATGATTTCTTGGATATGAACAAAAGCAAAAATGAACACGCAGGATTGGATCAAACTAAGAAGCTTCTGCACTGCAAATAAAACAATCAACACACTAAAAAGATAACTTAAGGAATGGGAGAAAATATTTGCAAACCATAGATCTGGTAAGGGGTTAATGTGCAAAATACATAAGGAATTCACATAACTCAATAGCAAAAACACAAATAACCTAATTTTAAAATGGGCTAAGGACTCGAATAGACATTTCTTCAAAAAAGGCACATAAATGACCCAAGGTATATGAAAAGGTGCTCAATATCACTAATAATCAGGCAAATGTAAATGAAAGCCACAATGGGGTATCATCTCCCATCTATTAGAATGGCTATTCTCAAAAAGACAAAAGATAGGAGGTGTTTCTGAGGATGTGGAGAAAGGGAACCCTGTATGCTGTCCATGGGAATGTAAAATGTTAAAGGCTCTATGGAAAACAGTATGGAGATTCCTCAAAAAATTAAAAATAGAATTACCATATGATTCAGTAATCCCACCTTGGGGTGCTTATTCACAGGAAATGAAACCAGTATCTTGGAGAGATATCTGCACCCTTCTGTTCATTGCAACATTCTTCAGAACAGCCAAGACATGAAAACAACTGAAGTATACACTGTCAGATGGATGGATAAATAAAATGCAATGTGTGTATACATTTATATACACACTACACAAACAATGGACTATTATTCAGCCTTAAAAAAGGAGATCCTGCCATTTGTAACAACATGGATGAACCTAGAGGATATTATCCTAAGTGAGATGAACCAGGTACAGAAAGACAAATACTGCATGATCTCACATGTGGAATCTAAAAAAGTCAAAGTCATAAAACAGAGAGTAGAATGGTGAATGCCAGGGGCTGGGGAGTGGAGGAGATGGGAAAGTGTTGATCAAAGGGTACAAAGGTTCAGTTATGGGGGATTAATAAATTCTGGAGATTTAAAATACAGCATGGTGACTATAGTTAATAATATTCTATTGTATACCTGAAACTTGCTAAGAGAGTTGATCTTAAGTGTTCTCTCCAAAATAAAAAATAAAAAATACTATGTGAGATGATGGCTATGTTAATTAGCTTGATTTTGGCAATTATTCCACAAAGTATATATCAAGTTGCACACTGTAAATATATACAATTTTTATTTGCCAAGTATACCTCAATAAAGCTGGGGAAAAACACATTTAAGAAAAAAACACATTTAAGAAACATATACTCCAGATAAACTTCATTACAGCAGGGATAGTTTTCTGCTTTGCTCACTACTGTATCTCAGGGCTGAGAAGCCCTAATCAGTAACAGGAGCTCTTATAAATGGATGAAATATAGAGTATAGGATATAACCTATTAGACTTGAAATTTTCACAACTGTACATACAAGTCTAGTATAGATTCCAGGGCTTTATAATTAGGTACTCACTTTTGGTCTTTTGGGAAGGAGACTCAACAGGAGATGAAATGTGTGTTTCTTGTGTTGCATCTTCCTGTACAGGCTCTTCGAGGACTGTAGATCTTCCCACGCCTTCTAAATACTCTGTGTGTATACATTTTTGAGATTACATACTTGAATTCATTTATTTTAAAATCAATAAATTTTAAGTTTTACTTCTGGTAATCAGTTTTTCATTTATTTTTTCATATCCTAAATATATCCTAAGTTTTCAAAAGAACTTCAAAAAACCAAACATATCAAAAGAACGCCATGATGAGCTATTTAATTAAAGTTGTAATTAAAAAAAGACACTGGATTATTTGGGAGAAACTCTTGAACCCCTTTCTTCTAAAACCTAAACTTAAAACATTCTTTCCTTAAAAATAAATTCACCTATTGAAGATACAATAAACTCCTTGGTCTCCTTATTTTCCATCTGAAGATTTTAAACTGTCTGAAAGATGCTTTGAATAGATTTAATCCCCAAAACAGGAATGTCAAATTCAGATGGATACCACAACCAGCCAGGTAACATAAACGAATGAAATGGAATAAGTTCATTTCAAAATGGTGCTGTAATCTTGTAACATAAGCATAATTTGCATATTAACTTTATTTCCACAAAGAAATAATGTTCATTGCCATTATTCTTGAAGTAATGTCCTATACTCAGCCTATTTTTCATTTTTCTAGTTTTGATACAGATATAATATTAGGAATAGCAGCTTAAACTTAAATATTGCTTACTATGGACCCAGCATTGTTCTAAGTGTTTTGTATAAATTAACTCATGTAATCCTTACAAAACTATGACACATGCACTAAATTTTAAAGATTACAAGTAAAGGAGGAGTATTATTAACTTGTCCATGTTCATTCAGCTAATAGGTGGCAAAGCCAAATAAATATAAGACAAGAAAACATCTCACTTTTCTCTTAACCATAAAGAAAACAGCATCTGAATGTAGAAATAAATGTTAACCAATATTCAGCCTCACAGACCATGTTGAACCAGAGAACAAATGACCAATCTAAAGTTCATCCCTGAAATAAAACTTCTTTTAGAGAAACCAAAACTCCAGAGTTTGAGCTAAAATCCTAGGGTTTTTTTTGTTTCTTTTTGGTTGTTTGTTTGTTTGAGATGGATTCTCGCTCTGTCGCCCAGGCTGGAGTGCAGTGGTGCAATCTTGACTCACTGCAACCTCCGCCTCCCAGGTTCAAATAATTCTCCTGCCTCAGCCCCCCAAGCTAGCTGAGACTACAGATATGTGCCACCACACCCGGCTCATTTTTTTTTGTATTTTTAGTAGAGACAGGGTTTCACCATGTTCGCCAGGCTGGTCTGGAACTCCTGACCTTGTAATCCGCCCACCTCGGCCTCCCAAAGTGCTGGGATTACAAGCGTGAGCCACCGCACCCTGCCAAATTCTAGATTTTTAAATGTTAACAGCTAATTCAATTTTTATGGAAACACAATGTGGGCTCAAAATATGTGATATATACAAAGCATGTGTGCTATCTGCCAAAGCGTTCAGCCCACAAGTGGCTAGTTTGTAGCCTCTGTATAAAGATTAAATGAACAGATCCCTTTTCATACAGAGCATTTGCTTATACTTCTTTATTCAAGAACCTTTTTCTTAAAATCTAATAAAGAAAATTTGTATTCTCATGCCAAACAAGTATGTCCTCATACCATTCAAATAATTTCTACCAGGGAAATCCAGGAATGCAAAGAACAGAGATGACGTGTTCACATTCTGAAATTTGCCAGTAATTAGAGAACTTCAAAGATGTACTGTATGCCCTACCACAAATTAACATACCTAATTAATCTTGACCATTTAGGAGAGCAAAGATAGTTACTCCCATGTAACAACATTTCATCTTATATAAACCAATGCAGTATGTTTTTAAAAAGTCCATGGTTATGTCACACCCCATTTTCTAGTGGGTGACATTTATTTTGCTTTTCCCAAAAGACATATTACACACATGCTTCAGTTTTGTTTTTTTGTTTGTTTGTTTGTTTTGTTTGGTTTGTTTGAGACGGAGTCTCGCTCTGTTGCTCAGGCTGGAGTGCAGTGGCGCGATCTCGGCTCACTGCAACCTCTGCCTTCTGGGTTCACGCCATTCTCCTGCCTCAGCCTCCCAAGTAGCTGGGACTACAGGCGCCCACCACCGCGCCCGGCTAAGTTTTTGTATTTTTAGTAGAGACGGGGTTTCACCGTGTTAGCCGGGATGGTCTAGATCTCCTGACCTCGTGATCCACCCACCTCAGCCTCCCAAAGTGCTGGGATTACAGGCATGAGCCATCGCGCCTGGCCCATGCTTCAGTTTTTAAAAGTTCAGTGAGAGGCAGCCGGGCACGGTAGCTCACGCCTGTAATCCCAGCATTTTGGGAGGCCAAGGCGGGTGGCCCACAAAGTCAGGAGATCAAGACCATCCTGGCTAACATCGTGAAACTCCGTCTCTACTAAAAATACCAAAGAAATTAGCTGGGCATGGTGGCGGGTGCCTGTAGTCCCAGCTACTCGGGAGGCTGAGGCAGGAGAATGGTGTGAACCGGGGAGGCAGAGCTTGCAGTGAGCCCAGAGGGCGCCACTGCACTCCAGCCTGGGTGACAGAGTGAGACTCCCTCTCAAAAAGAAAAAAAAAGTTCAGTGAGAGGCTGGGCGCTGTGGCTCATGCGTGTAATCCCAGCACTTTAAGAGGCCAAGGTGGCTGGATCACCTGCGTTCAGGAGTTGGAGACCAGACTGGCCAACATGGTAAAACCCCCTCTCTACTAAAAATACAAAAAGTAGCCAGACATGGCGGCAAGTGCCTATAATCCCAGCTACTTGGGAGACTGAGGCAGGAGAATCACTTGAACCCGGGAGGCGGAGGCTGCAGTGAGCCAAGATTGCACCACTGCACTCCAGCCTAGGCAATAAGAGCAAAACTCTTTCTCAAAAAAAAAAAAAAAAAAAAATTCAGTGAGAGTCAAAAGTCCAACATGAAATACAAAGTGCATAGAGGGAGAAGACTAATAAAAAATAGTATGTGCCACTCTTATTTTTTAGCTTTTATTCAATTTAATTTTAATTTTAATTTATATAAAAGGCTATGATGGGATTTTTCTCTGATTCATCTCTGCATGCATTTGACTTGTAATTAACTTCTTTATTGATAAGAAAATTGTAGGGGCATGAACTTCCCTGAAATATTTTGGAAATAGAGAAGAGAGCATAATGGCCACATATAGTGCATCTATTCCTTTTACTCCTCCTTGGCCTTTGTTGACTATTGTATCTACATGTTCCCTGCCTGACTTGGTTTTAATTCATTTATCTCCCTGCAAAACAATGCTGTTCTTCAGCTTCCCAACTGACACCTAATAAAACCTATCTCACCACCCTCCTCTATCATACTTGCAGCCAATCCATAACAAGTGTAGGAGATAATCACTGCTGAACAGGGTAGGAGCTAAAGGAGAGAAAAACATCTGGGGTTTTTAAGTAACATGCTACATGTCAGGCCTAATCACCAAACAGGAAGAGAAAGCATTTAAGTCTAATTTTGTTATAAAACTTTTAGTTCAAGTGGAGAAGTATGCAAGCTGCAAATAACAAAAGTCGTACCTAGACAGTTGTCAAACTTTCAATAGAGCTAATGACTGCCACTAACAACAAATGCACTTAAATGACTTTTACCAAAAACTAAGGCTGGTAAGACTGAGTTATTTTATACCATTGGATTAGGAAGGAAATAATCTGTATTCTTTTGGCTAAATACAATTTTTGTTATTATTGATAATCTAGCATTTAGATACAAGCTCTGCCACTTAAGATACATGAATTTGAACAAATCAAATCTCTCAGAGCCTCAGTTTCCCTTATGTGCAAAAGTAAAATAATATCTGACTTATGTTACTTCATAGGGTCATAGAAACCAAAGTAGTAGCAAATCCCTGAAAATGCTGAAAGTATTATTCAAATGTGAAATAACACTTAATCATCACTACTTTATAGCCTTATTAACTTCCAGCTCATAACTACATATTTACTACATAAATATGAATTTTAAAAATATTTCTATTATCAAATGAGTAAATAAATACCTTAACTTCTTTAAAATACTTACTGAGTAGTTGAAAAACAAAAATAAAACATTAAAAGGTATTATTATTTAGTTTAAAAGTCTACCAGAAAAAAATAAAACTAGTAAGTTTGTTCAAAAGTAAACACTAACTCAAAATCCAAAAGAAAACTGTAACAGTTTTAATCTCATCTTAACTTTAAGGCAAACTCATCCATCATTCAATACTGTTTACCTTGTAAGAGTGTTGCAATCTGGAGAGATTTCTGAGATGGATGTTCTTTCAGAATGTCCAAGACAGTTCTACCTAAGCTATCCTTTATGTTGGCATCAATTCCTGAAAGAAAAAGAAAAACTCACTAGATATACACCACTGAAGTATCCTCAAAAGATACTATCACTATCTAACTGCTGTAATTTCAGACATATACAGACCAAGCATTGAAAGTGATTTTTAAAAAATTAAGTTCTACACACACACATACACACACACATGCGCACACACACACACACTCACACAAGATTTTAGCAAGAAAGAAGGCAGGGGCCTGTTGCTACCAAAGATTAGGAACATTCTTGATCATCAATTAACTCTTAAAGGGCACTGACCCAATGTTTAAGATTGTTTTTCAGGACCCTATGATATCTTTTTTTTTTTGAGACGGAGTCTCACTCTGTTGCCCAGGCTGGAGTGCAGTGGCGCGATCTCGGCTCACTGCAAGCTCCGCTTCCCAGGTTCACGCCATTCTCCTGCCTCAGACTCCTGAGTAGCTGGGACTACAGGTGCCCACCACCATGCCCAACTAATTTTTTTTTTTTTGTATTTTTAGTAGAGACGGGGTTTCACTGTGTTAGCAAGGATGGTCTCGATATCCTGACCTCGTGATCTGCCCACCTTGGCCTCCCAAAGTGCTGGGATTACAGGCTTGAGCCACCACGCCCGGCTGACCCTATGGTATCTTTGGGTTATAACTATTTAACTCAACAGCACACTATCACACTGAAAAATATTATTGATTTAGAATGTGAATTCCTAAAGTATAATGGTCATGTGATTTATATTCTCTGTACAATATGGTAAAAATATTTAGTAAATTATAATCATGTACCATGTAAGTAACATAAGAACAGTCTTAGAACACTTGAATATTCACAAAGTTGAAAAAGCATGATTATTTTGAATTGTTGTCCACAAAGAATTTATCCAAATACAAGGTCAAATACTCTATGATATTTATTTATGCAAGATTGTATTTGTCAGTCACACTAATCATCCACCTGACGAGCAAACTTACTGAAGTGTGTAACTAAAACACCTGTTATTATTTTAGTTGTGGAAATATATATTGTAAGAAAGAACTTATTTTAACACAGCAAATAGCTTTCACTGCCCTAAAAATATTATGAATTTTCCAAACACATAATTGCAAAAAAAAAAAAAAAAGCCAGTTTACAGGATCTGGTCCCAAATGTTAGTTCATTGTAAGATTATTAAATACATGTTTAAATTTGCATAGGAATGTGTAACCAGCACATATTAATATTTAGGTGGTTTCCTCAAATCATTTGTTATATCACCACACTGCATGACAAAGTTAAATATAAATGAAATTTTAACTTTGTTAAATTGTGTACAAATACAATCACAATACAACAGTCTGCCAATGTTTTTCATTTTTTTTTACAGAGGAAAATAAACACACTATAGTCCATAACATGAAAAATTCCATCAGTTGTTTACAAGCATGAATTTGTACCCATGCCTTTTGATCTTTAAAACAAATCTGACCTTAATTCTAGCTCTATTTCATCTCAATCAGAATGCACATATGAAAATAAATAAGCCAACTTTATTGTTCCTTCAAAGCACTCCCTTTAAAAGGTTCCCTTTAAAATAAGTTTCTGTAGCCTACTAACAATAGCTACTCAGTTAATGAACTAACTAGAAGGACAATTTACCTTAAAGAGAGGGAACTCAAATCTCTGTTTACCGTAGTCCACAATATAAAACACAGAAAAACTATTATGTTCTTCAATAAATCAAGCAATTGTGAAAATTTCTCAAGGATCAATTCCTCTCTCTTACAGAAGGCAGAAATTTCCTTTTTCTTTTGGTAGTTCATCTCTAAAGTACTTAAGTGCATAAAATTGTAATAACAAAGAGGTTTGTACTTAAAACATCTATTGCATAAAAGAAGTTGCACATTGATATCAATGTTATCTAAATACTGAAACTCAGTTCTACATAATATGAATACATATCTGCATTTTAGAGTAAAGGCAAGAGGGTGATTTGTGAAGAAAACTGTGTCATTTTCCTTTGTCTATTCCCAAAATAGAAATGTTATCTGTCAGGATAAGCTCCATGCAGAATCACAATAGTTACCTGTTTCTAACAGAACTCGTACAACATCCACCTTTCCAAACAAAGCTGCTTCATGAAGTGCACTCCCCTTTTCTGTCTGGAAAAAAAAAAGTAAGAAAAAAGAAAGCACGGTTGCATTTGGAATGCTTACAGGTTGAAATAAAATGCTCACATTTTACATATTCATACATATTTGCTGTAATCTCAGCTCTCCCTAACAGAAAGGTCATGTGGAATAAAGAAGAGATTCTAAAAGCAAAATCCATCGGCTTGGGGATTGTAAAATACCTCTGCTTCTAAATAGAAATTTGGGCCAGATGCAGCTGAGGCGGATGGATCACCTGAGGTCAGGAGTTCGAGACCAGCCTGGCCAACATGGCAAAACCCCGTCTCTACTAAAATACAAAAATTAGCCACAGGTGGTGGTATGTGCCTGTAATCCCAGCTACTCAGGAAGCTGAGGCAGGAGAATCGCTTGAACTCAGGAAGCAGAGGTTGCAGTGAGCCAAGATCATGCCACTGCACTCCAACCTGGGTGACAGAGTGGGACTCCATCTCAAAAATAAATAAATAAATAGCCATTTGACTTTCTTATGTGAGTATTTCACCTTCTCTTAGCTTTAGCTCTCCTTAAGTATAAAATAAGAGAAGTAATGCCCACCTCACAAGGCTTTTGTGACTATGCAAGAAGCTCATTTAATCAGCATGCATTTATTAAACACCAATTATAGGCCAAGAGTAGCTGATGGATATTCTGAGGTATGGAAATATCATCCTGGCCCTCATATATTCACATTCTATTTGAAGAGACAGATGTATAAACACAGATGCTCCTTGACTTCCAATAGGGTTACCTCCTGATAAAGCCACCATAAACTGAGTATCCCTTAAATTGAAAATGCATTTAGGCTGGGCGCAGTGGCTCATGCCTGTAATCCCAGCACTTTGGGAGCCAAGGCAGGTGGATTGCCTAAGGCCAGGAGTTCAGGACCAGTCTGACCAACATGGTGAAACCCCATCTCTACTAAAAATACAAAAAAATTAGCCAGGCGTGGTGGCATGCACCTGTAATCCCAGCTACTCAGGAGGCTGAGACAGGGGAATTGCTTGAACCAGAAAGGTGGAGGTTGCAGTGAGCCGAGATCGCACCACTGCACTCCAGCCTGGGTGACAGAGTGAGAATCCATCGCAAAAAAAAAAAAAAAGAAAAGAAAAAGAAAAGAAAATGCATTTAAACACAGGTAACCTACCACCAAACATCATAGCCTAGACTAGCCTACTTTAAATATGCTCAGAACACTTACATTAACCTAGTGTTGGGCAAAATCATGTAACACAAAGCCTATTTTATGATAAAGCATTGACTATCTCATATACTGCATATCGCTAGCCTGAGAAAAGATCAAGATTCAAAATTTGAAGCATATCAAAAATGCGACAGTTTCACACCATTTTAAAGTCGAGAAATTGTTAAATTAAATCATTGTAAGTTGGGGGCTGTCTGTAAATATTTATGATAAATGAAATCTAAACAATTTAATGTAGCCATAAAAAAGAATAAAATCCTGTCATTCACAGCAACATGGATGAGCCTGGAGAATATTATGTTAAGTGAAATAAGTCAGGCACAGAAAGATAAATACCACATGTTCTCACATATGTGTGAGCTAAAAAAGTTGGACCCATAGAAGTAGAGAGTAACATTATGGTTATGAGAGGCTGGGCAGGGGAGCAGGGAGAGGAGGATAGGGAGAGGTTGGTGATTGACTGCGAAATTACAGCTATATAGGAGGAAGAAGTTCTAGTATTCTTTAGTAGGGTGATGATAGTTAACAATAATTGATTATATATTTTCAAATACTGGAAGAGAGGATTTTTTAATGTTCCCAACACAAATAAATGGCAAATGTTTAAGGTGATAGATATGCTAATTACCCTATCATTATATACTATATTTCATGTATCAAAATATCACTCTGTACCCCTAAATATGTACAATTATGACATGCAATTAAAAATAAAAATAAATTTAAAAGCCAAAAAAAATTTAATGTGGCTTAAGAAACCCAGATGATATTTTCTCCCTGCTTTCCTCTCCGTCCCATCCTTTGCCCATCACAACCCTCTTCCAAACCTCATACCCTATGCTCCAGGCATACTGAACTTTCTTTTTTTTTTTTTTTTTTTTTGAGACGGAGTCTCGCTCTGTGGCGCAGGCTGGAGTGCAGTGGCACGATCTCAGCTCACTGCAAGCTCCGCCTCCAGGGTTCACACCATTCCCCTGTCTCAGCCTCCCGAGAAGCTGGGACTACAGGCTCCTGCCACCACACCCAGCTAATTTTTTTGTATTTTTAGTAGAGATGGGGTTTCATCATGTTAGCCAGGATGGTCTCGATCTCCTGACCTCATGATCCACCCGTCTTGGCCTCCCAAAGTGCTGGGATTACAGGCGTGAGCCACCGCGCCTGGCCCCTGAACACTTTCATAATCATTTCATATTGCTTTCTTCCACAGGGGGTCTCCAAGGCTGGTCTCTCTGCCTGGCAGGATCTAACTCCTAGCACTCTTAATCTAGCCATCTAGATATACCTACCACTAGTTAATTTTCAGCATGAATAAGAACCATGTGGAGAAACTGTCTTAAAAACATACTTCTGGGCCCCATCCCCAGAGTTTCTGATTCAGTCGCCTGAGATTAGGCCATAGAATTTCCATTTCTAACAAATTCCCCTGTGATTCTGTAGGTCTAAAGAGTATGCTTTAAGAACCATAAACATGTACGATATCTCGAATCTTAGCTTAAAATAATTGCATTTATAAAGACATCCCTGACCCCTGAAGTTTAGTGTTTTTCCTGGATGTTCCACATCAATCTATATTTTCCTTATCACAGCACTCATATACCACATTATAATTTTATGTAATTGTCTGGTTCCCATAATAAACTGTAAGTTCAGCGGAAATGTAGGCCACATCTATTTTTTCACCATTGTATCCCCAATGCCTAGCAAAGTACTTTGAAAATATAGATGTTTAGGAATTTTTCTGAGGGCAAGAAGTGGAGGGAGGGAAGAACACAGGATGAAAAACTAGGACAATTTGTGAGTAGTGCAGGATAAGACTGATTCTGCCTTCAGGAAGCTCAAGGAAGATTCCAAAGATGAAGCTTTTTGAGCTACACGAATGTTAGTTGTCTCTTTTTTTTTTTTTTCATTCTTTTTCTTCTTCTCTCAAGAATCTAACAAGTATCAGTAGGTCGTGTGTGTGTGTGTGTGTGTGTGTCTGTGTGTCTGTGTGTGTTTTCAATTGAATAGTGTCAAGGTAGCAATTTTGTTGCCCTATACTAAATGTGATCTCTAAAGTGGGATTCTAATCTCAACCTGAAATAGAAATATCACTATAAAATAACATACAATGTAAAAACTCTTTTTTTTTTCTGTTTTTCTTTTTTGAGATGGAGTCTTGCTCTCTCGCCCAGGCTGGAGTGCTGTGGCATGATCTCAGCTCACTGCAACCTCCGTCTCCCAGGTGCAAGCGATTCTCCTGCCTCAGCTTCCCAAGTAGCTGAGATTAAGGCATGCGCCACCACGCCCAGCTAATTTTTGTATGTTTAGTAGAGAGGGGCTTTCACCATGTTGACCAGGCTGGTCTTGAACTCCTGACCTCAAATGATCCGCCCACGTCAGCCTCCCAAAGTGCTGGGATCACAGGCATGAGCCACTGCGCCTGGCCAAAACTCTTTAATAAAAGTCTATTATATAATTAACCCAATCTAAAGTAGATAAGTACATTATTAAGCAGGCTTGAGGAACACTGAATATCAATGTGATCTGACTGTATCTTCAAGATGGAATGACTGAAATGCCCTTGAATTATAATCTGACTGGCATGATATGTAGATACTGAAAAAAATGGAAACAAAAAAATAATTTGTAAATATACAGCACAGTTTTGAAGGAAATGAGAAACTGGAAACTGATTCGGCTCTTAAGAAAATATTTCAATGTGGGGCATGAACATTTTATTTTTTCCCTTCCTTAAAAATATTCCTTGAAATAATCTAATTTTGCTCATTCTCATGCTGTTTTTCAACCAGATTTCTGATTACTAATTTGATTCCCTTACACTTTTCACAAAATTTTGGACTTGATTTCAGATAAATCCTTCCTGATATAGCATACTTCAGTTCATTCTGAAAACAAACCAAAGAATATTTTAATTCAGGATTGCGAGGGGAAAGAAATAGAATTCCCCACAGCCTTAGGGAAAGGCGAGGACAGAAAGTATGAACCCCAGGGGGTTAGCTTTGGAACAGGTATTTGTTCCAGGGAGTCTGTCAACCAATGCTAGACTAGTGCCTGGACTTTAACCAGCCACTCAAGGTACGAGTGGCAGTGGGGCAGAAGACAGTCTGAAGTCTAAGCAAGCTGAAAGTTTAAATGAGGGACCCCTACAAAACTCTAAAACTTCTAAAGAACATCCTCAGTGAAAATTAAAACAACAACAACAACACATTGCACAGAAGGGGAAAGGATGTCTAACTAGGTCTTAGTTGTAGATAGAGTGAAAAAAGTAAATCCCCCTAAGAATGCCTAACCACAATTCTACACTCACATGGTAAGTTTAAGGCAAAATTGTACAATCTCTATGAACTCCAGATCCTCATCCAAAATGTAGAATAAAGTGGTCCTGGGTTTCTAGTAATACAGGCAGATATAAATGCTTAGAAAAAAGCAGATATAAATCCCCTCTGTAAAAGTACACTTTCAACTCAGGCCTCCAAATATTCCAGCAGATGAAGCTCTAAGAAATACAAATTCAAAATTATAAATTACTGAATGTGAAAGGAAGCATCCCACCATGAACAAGGATTAGTAAATAAAAATACAAAAGAATAAAACTCACAAAAATTTCACATATTGAAATGGTCAGGTATAGAATATAATACATATGTGATAAATAAGATGAAAGAACTAGAACAAAAGAATAATTATCAAAATTGACCAGATGTGAAAATGAATCAAATAGCATTCTAGAAATAGAAAATATAATATTTAAAATCAATGGCTTAATAACATATAAATAGCTATTGAAGGGGTATTAAACTGGATGATAGATTTTTTTAAGTACATAATTGATAGGGTTTGGCTATGTCCCCATCCAAATCTCATCTTGAATTTTAGTTCCCATAATCTTCATGTGTCATGGGAGAGACCGGCTGGGAGGTAATTTACTCATGGGGGCAATTACCCTCATGCTGTTCTCATGATAGTGAGTTCTCACAAGATCTAATGGTTTTATAAGGAGCTTTTCCTCCTTTGGCTCGGCACTTCCTCTTGCCTGCCACCATGTAAGATGTGACTTTGCTCCTCCTTCACCTTCCACCATGATTGTGAAGCCTCCCCAGCCATGTGAAACTATAAGTCAATTAAACCTCTTTCCTTTATAAATTACAACCTCAGGTATGTCTTTATTAGGAGACATACTAATAGGAGACTTAATTAGGAGAACAGACTAATACAATAATGCAATAAAAAGAATAAGAGATGAAGGACAGAGCAAAATTGCAGAATATAAGCCTACATCATTTGTCTTCCCCACTGGAACACCGAATATTAACAACTATCTGCACACAGAAGAGCATTGTCACAAGAACCAAAAATCAAGTGAACAATCACAGTATCTGGTTTTAACTTCCTACTGCTGAAATAGACACTGAGGAGGGTGGAAGAGAAAGTCTTGAATCACGGGCGCTGCCCCTCTCCCATTCCATGGCAGTGGCCATGCTGTGCAGATAGAAAATCTGTGCATTTTAGGAAGGGAGAAAGCAGTGACTGAGGAACTTTACATTGAACTCAGTGCTGCTTTGCCAGAGTGGACAATAAAGCTGTGTGGGGTTCCGCCAGTGCCCACACATTGAGGGGACATTTGCACCAGCCCAGCCAGAAGGGAATCACCCATGGAATGTGAGTCTCTCAACAAGCCTCACCACTGCACTGCAGGCTGAAGTGCTCTGGGATCCTCAGTAAACTTGAAAGGCAGTCTAGGACACAAGGACTGCAATTCCTAGGCAAATCCTAGTGCTAGGCTAGGCTTAGAGCCAGTAGACAAGATTGGCGCATGACCTAGGGAGACAGCGGCAGATATGGCTAACGAAGTGCCTATGCCATTCCTCCACCAACCTCAGGCAGTGCAAGTGCAATTCACAACAACAAAAGTAACTTTTCCCTTCTATTTAAGGAGAGGAGAGTGAAGAGTAAAGAGGACTTTGTCTTGCATCTTAGATGTCAGCTCAGCCATAGTAGGACAGGGCACTGGGCAGAGTTGTGAAGCCCTAAATCCTGGACATTTCTAGATGTACCTTGGGCCAAAAGGGAACCCACTGCCTTGAAGGAAAGAACCCAGTCCTGGCAGGATTCATCACCTGCTGACTAAAGAGCTCTTGGAGCCTAAATAAGCAGCAGCAATAACTGGGAGTACACCATGGGCCTTGTTGTCTGAGAAATGCTGGCTTCAAGGGTCATCCAGCACAGTCCCAGCTGTGGTGGCTACGGTGAACAACTTCTTCTGTTTGAAAACAGCAGAGGGAAAAGTAAAGGGGCCTTTGCCTTGCACCTAAGGTACCACTTCGGCCACAGTAGGAAAAAACAAGCAGGCACACGGGGTCTCTGCGTTCAGGCCTAGGCTCTTGGACAACATTTCTGAATCTGTCCTGGACCAGAGGGGAGCCTACTGCCCTATAGGGTGAGTCTGAGGCCTGGCAGGACTCACCATAAGCTGACAAAAGAGCCCTTGGGCTTTAAGTAAACATTGGCAGTGACCTAGAAGAACCCTCGTGGACCAGAAGTGGTGGTGGCCACAGGGAGAGTCTCCTCTGCCTGTGGAAAAGGGAAGAAAGAGTAAGAAGGACTTTGTAATGAAGTGTGAGTGCCAATTTAGCTGCAGTAAATTAGAACATCAGGTAAACTGCTAAGGTTTTTGACTCTAATCCTTGGCTTCCAGACAGCTACTCTGGACATGCCCAGGGTCTGGGGGAACTCACTGCCCTGAAGATTAGGATACAGTGCTGAGCTGGCTTCAGGTCTGACCCAACACAATCCCAGTGGTGGTTTCCGAAGGGGTGTTTGCATCACCACACCCCCAGGTACAGGTGGCTCAGCACAGAAAGACAGACTCTGTTTCTTTGAGAGAAAGGAGAAAGAAGAGTCTCTGCCTAGTAATACATAGAATTCTTCCACATCTTATCCAAGACCACCAAGGCAATACCTCTATGAGTCTGCAAAAACCACAGTGTTAGTGGGTTTGGGGCCCAAGTCCCTTCAAATGCCTGGAAAGTCTTCCTAAGAAGGACAGATACAAACAGGTCCAGACTGTGAAGACTACAGTCAATATCTAACTCTTCAATGCCCAAACATCAAGACCATCCAAGAAAACATGACCTCACCGAATGAATTACATAAGGCACCAGGGACAAGTCCTGGAAAAAAAATAGATATATGATCTTTCAGACAGAGAATTCAAAATAGCTGTTTTGAGGAAACTCAAAGAAATTCAAGATAACACAGAGAAGGAATTCAGAATTCTATCAGATAAATTTAACAAAGAGATTGAAATAATTAAAAAGAATCAAGCAAAAGTTCTAGAGTTGAAAATTGCAATTGATGTAATGAAGAATGCATTAGAGTCTCTTAAGAGCAGAATTAGTCAAGAAGAAAAAATTAACGAGCTTGAAGACAGGTATTCGAAGACACACTGAGAGTCTACAGCCATACCGCCCCAAACGCACCCAATCTCATCTGAAAACACACTGAGAAGACAAAATAAAAAAAGAATAAAAAGCAATGAAACCTGCTTTCAAGATCTAGACAACAGTCTCAAGAGGGCAAATCTAAAAGTTACTGGCCTTAAAGAGGAGGTTGAGAAATAGTTAGGGGTAGAAGGTTTATTCAAAGTGATAATATTGGAGAACTTCCCAAACCCAGAGAAAGATATTAACATTCAAAGACAGGAAGGTTATAGAGCACCAAGCAGATGTAACCCAAAGAAGGCTACTTCAAGGCATTTAAGAATCAAACTCCCAAAGGTCAAAGATAAATAAATAATCCTAAAAGCAGTAAGAGAAAATAAACAAATAACATACAATGGAGCTCCAATATATCTGGCAGCAGACTTTTCAATGGAAATCTTACAGGTCAGGAGAGAGTGGCATGACATATTTAAAGTGCTGAAGGAAGAAAACTTTTACCCTAAAATGGTATATCTGGCAAAAATATCCTTCAAGCATGAAAGAGAAATAAAGACCTTCCCATACGAGCAAAATCTGAGGGATTTCATCAACACCAGGCCTGTCTTGCAAGAAATGCTAAAGGGAGTTCTTCAATCTGAAAGAAAAGGAAATTAATAAGCAATAAGAAATCATTTGAAGGTGCAAAACTCACTGGTAATAGCCCACAGAAAATCCAGAATAACCCTGTAATTACGGTGTGAAAACTACTTTTATCTTAAGTAGAAACACTAAACAATGAACCAAAAAATAATGACTACAATGAATTTTCAAGACACAGAGAATGAAATAAGACATAAAGAGAAACAACAAAAAGTTAAAAAGTTAGGTGGCAAAGTTAAACTGTATAGTTTTTATTAGTTTTCTTTTTGTGTGTTTGTTTGTTTATGCAATCAGTGTCATCATCAGTTTAAAGTAATGGGTTATAAGGTAGTATTTGCAAGCCTCATGGTAGCTTCAAATAAAAAAACATACAATGGGTACGCAAAAAAATTAAAAAGCATGAAATTAAAGCCTACTGCCAGAGAAAATCACCTTCACTAAAAGGAAGACAGGAAGAAAGGAAAAAAGGAAGAGCAGACCGCCAAAAAAAGAGAGCGAGAGAAAAAAATAACAAAATGACAGGAGTAAGTCCTTACTTATCAACAATAACATTAAATGTATATGGAGTAAACTCTCCAATCAAAAGACATAGAGTGGCTGAATAGATAAAAAACAAAACCCAATGATCTGATGCCTACAGGAAGCACATGTTACCTATAACGATACACACAGATTAAAAATAAGTGGATGAAAAAAGTATTCCATGTCAACAGAAACCAAAAAACCACAAGAGTAGCTATACTTATATTAGGCAAAATAGGTTTTAAGATAAAAATTGTAGGAAAAGACAAAGAAGGTCATTATATAATGACAAAGGGGTCAATTCAGCAAGAGGATATTACAATTGTAAATATATATGCACCAAACACTGGAGTACCCAGATATATAAAGCAAATATTATTAGTGCTAAAGGGAAAGATAGACCTAAATACAATAATAGCTGGAGACTTCAACTCCCCACTTTCAGCATTGGATAGATCTTCCAGACAGAAAATCAACAGATAAACATTGGTCTTAATCTGCACTTTAGAAAAAATGGAACATTTTATCTGATGGCTGCAAAATACATATTCTTCTCCTCAGCACATGGATCATTCTCAAGGACAGACCACATGTTAGGTCACAAAACAAATTTTTAAACATTTTTTAAAAATGAAAAAATATCAAGCATCATCCCTGACCACAATGGAATAAAACTAGAAATCAATAACAAGAGAAATTTTGGAAACTATGCAAACAGACAAAAATTAAACAATATGCTCCTGAATAAGTGGGTCAATGAAGAAATCAGAAAGAAAATTTAAAAATTCCTTGAAATAAGTTCATGGAAACACAGCATACCAAAACCTATGGGACACAGCAAAAGCAGTACTAAGAAGAAACTTTATAGCCATCAATGCCTACATCAAAAAGGAAGAAAAACTTAAAATAAATAATCTAATGATGCATCTTAAAGAATTTAAAAAGCAAGAGCAAGCTGAATGCAAAATTAAGAGAAGAAAAGAAATAATAAGGATCAGAGCAGACATAAATGAATTTGAAATGATTAAAAAAAGACAACAGATCAACAAAACAAGAAGTTGTTTTGAAAAGAAAAACACAATTGACAAACCTTTAGCCAGACTAACACAAGAGAGAAGACCCAAATAAATGAAATCAGAAATGAAAAAGGAGACATTACAACTAATATCACAGAAATTCAAAGGATCATGAGTGGCTGATATGAACAACTACATACCAATAAATGGAAAAATCTAGAAGAAATGGATAAATTCCTACATACATACAATCTACTAAAATTGAACCATTAACAATTCCAAAGCCCAAACAGACGAATAACAAGTAACAAGATCGAAGCCATAATAAAAAGTCTCCCAGTAAAGAAAAGTGCAGGACCGATGACTTTGCTGATGAATTCTACCAAACATTTAAAAAACTAATACCAATCCTATTCAAACTGTTCTGAAAAATAGGGGAAGATGGAATACTTACAAACCCATTCTACAAGGCCAGTATTAATCTGATACTATACCCCAAGACACACCAAAAAAAGAAAACTATAGGCCAATATCTCTGATTACTATTGATGTAAAAATCCTCAACAAAACTCCAACAAACCAAATTCAACAACAAATTAGGATTTATCCCTGTGATGCAAGGATGGTTCAACATATGCAAATCAATCAATGTGATACCCTGTATCAACAGAATGAAGGACAAAAAACATTATCATTTTGACTAATGCTGAAAACATATTTGATGCAGTCCAACATCCCTTCCTGTTTTAAAAAAAAATAGTCAAAACACCTCAATGTAATAAAATCCATATATGACAGACTCACGACTAGTATCATACTGAATGGGGGAAAACTGAAAGCCTTTCCTCTAAGACCTGGAATACAACAAGAACACCCACTTTCACCACTGTTACTCAAAATAGAACTGGAAGTCCTAGCTAGAGCAATTAAACAAGAGAAAGACATAAAGGGCATCCAAATTGGAAAGGAAGAAGTCAAATTATCCTTGTTTGCAGATAATACAATCTTATATTTGGAAAAACCTAAAGACTCCACTGAAAAACTATTAGAACTGATAAACAAATGTAGCAACGTTGCAGGATACAAAATCAACATACAAAAATCAGCAGCATTTCTATATGCCAACAGTAAACAATGTGAAAAAGAAAATTTTAAAAATCCCATTTACAGTAGCCACACATAAAACTAAATACCTAGGAATTAACCAAATAAATGAAAAATCTCTACAATGAAAACTGTAAAATACTGATGAAAGAAATTGAAGATGACATCAAAAATGGAAAGATATTCCATGCTCATGAATTGGAAGAATCAATATTGTTAAAATGTCCATACTAACCAAAGCAATCTACAGATTCAATGCAATACCTATCAACATACCAATGACATTTTTCACAGAAATGGAAAACCAATCCCAAAATTTATACAGAATCACCAAATACCCAGAATAGCCAAAGCAAACCTGAGCAAAAAGAATAAAACTGAAGGAATAACATTACCTGACTTCAAATTATACTACAAATCAGAATGGTACTGGCATAAAATCAGACACATAGACCAATGGAACAAAATAGAAAACCTAGAAACAAATCTACACACCTACAGTGAACTCATTTTCGACAAAAGAGCCAAGAACATACACTGGTGAAAAGACAGTCTTCAATAAATGGTGCTGGTAAAACTAAATATCCATATGCAGAACAATGAAACTAGACTCCTATCTCTCACAATATACAAAAATCAAATCAAAATGGATTAAACATTTGAATCTAAGGCTTCAAACTCTGAAACTGCTACCAAAAAACTTTGAGAAAAATCTCCAGGATATTGGTCTCGGCAAAGATTTCTTGAGTAATACCCCACAAGTACAAACAACCAAAGCAAAAATGGACAAATGGGATCATATCAAGTTAAAAAGCTTCTGCACAGCAAAAGAAACAATCAACAAAGTGAAGAGACAACCCACGGAATAGGAGAAAATATTTGCAAACTACTCATCTGACAAGAGATTAATAACCAGAATATATAAGGAACAAAAAAACTTTACAGGAAAACATCTAATAATACAATTAAAATATTGGCAAAACATTTGAATAGACATTTCTCAAAAGAAGACACATAAATGGCAAACAGGTATATGAAAAGGTGTTCAGCATCATTGATCATCGGAGAAATGCAAATCAAAACTGCAAAGAAATGTCACCTCACCCCAGTTAAAATGGCTTTTATCCAAATGTTAAGCAATAACAAATGCTGGTGAGGATGTGAAAACAAGGGAATCCTATATACTGTAGGTGGGAATGTGAATTAGTACAACCACTATGAAGAACAGTTTGGAGGTTCCTCAAGAAACTAAAAATAGAGCTACCAAATGATCCAGCAATCCCACTGCTGGATATCTACCCCAAAGAAAGGAAATCAGTATTTTGAAGAGATATTTACAATCTCATGTTTGTTGTGGCACTGTTCACAATAGCCAAGATTTGGAAGCAACCTAAGTGTCCATCAACAGATGAAAGGATAAAGAAAATGTGGTACACACACACACACACACACACACACACACATTTTCTTGGAGTACTATACAGCCACAAAAAAGAATAAGATTCTGTCATTTGCAACAACATGGATGGAACTGGAGATCATTATATTAAGTGAAATAAGCCAGGCTCAGAAAGACAGACATCACATGTTCTCAGTTATTTGTGAGATCTAAAAATCAAAACAATTGAACTCACAGAGATAAAGAAGGGTGGTTACCAGAGGCTGGGAAGGGTAGTGGGGGCACAGGGGTTAGAGGGAGGTGGGGATGGTTAAAGCGTACAAAAAATAGAAAGAATGAATAAGACCTAGTATTTGATAGCACAACAGGGGCACTATAATCAATAATAATTCAATTGTACATTTAAAAATAAATAATTGTAACACAAAAGATAAATGCTTGAGGGGATGGATACTCAATTTTCCATGATGTGATTATTGTACATTG
The DNA here is from genome assembly GCF_000001405.40 of Homo sapiens. Taxonomy (NCBI): domain Eukaryota; kingdom Metazoa; phylum Chordata; class Mammalia; order Primates; family Hominidae; genus Homo; species Homo sapiens. The sequence continues at coordinate 99,794,914 of NC_000012.12, forward strand.
CATACATGTACCAAAATATCTCATGAACCCATAAATATATATACCTACTATGTATCCACAAAAATTTTACATTTAAAATTTTTTAAATGACTACAGAAACAAATAAGCAAAGAAGGTAAAAAAGAAATAAGAGATGGAAAATATGAAAGATAGAATAAAATAAGAGGATTCAACATATGTCTAATCAATTTTAGAGGAAGAAGATAGAGGTAAATAATAGTCAGTGGCTAAGAACTTTACATAATTGATAAGACACTAAGTTCCAGGACCAGCAAGCAAGATAAATGAAAAGAATACATCCTGGACATATCACAGTAAAACTACAAAACTACTAAGATAATAACTTTAAGACACTCTGAGGGAAAAAATTGCCTAAAAAGAAATAATAATTAGATCAATAGCGGACTTCACAACAAAAATAAATAATAAAGTCAGAAGAAAGTATAATACCTTCATGTGACAAGAGAAAAAAAATCTATCAACCTAGCATTCTACATTCAGTCAAACTACCTTCTAAAAATGAGAGTAAAATAAAAACATTTTCAGACAGACTAAAAATGAGTGGTTACTTACAACTCTTACTGAAAGAACTTCTATAGGATATAATTCAGAAAAGGAACTGAGATGCAAGAAGTAATGATAAATAAAGAGAATGGTTAATATGAGGCTAAATCTAAACAAATATTTAAAAATATGATAGTGTCTACTTTTGGCACTGATTTGGCTTCACAGATACTTTGATAAAGGATGATGCACACTGTAGACACGGAAAAGGTCCCACTTTATACACAGGGAATATATTCCAAGCACCCCAGTGGATGTCTAAAACCAAAGATAGTACTGAACCCGAATGCCATCAATCAGAATTCATTTCTGTTCATGTCTTCCATCCACAAATTCAAGGCCTTTTCCATCTTAACTAAGCACTTACCGTGCACTATAGCTGTAACTTCTGTAGTTTGAGGTGCAACAGCAAAACTAGTACAAATTTCTTTTTCTTTCTTCTCAACTTCAGATAGAGGATTCATTCTTACCATAGATCTTAGCAACCTCTGTGTACAAGTTTTTCTTTTCTTTAGTAAGTCAAGAACTTTCACCTTTTCACTTAGAGGAAGCACTTTACAGCTTCTCTTTGGAATATGCAAATTGTCAGCATCACTGCTCTTGTGCTTTGGGGCCATTATTAAGTAAAATATGGGTGACTTGAACCCAAGCAGTGCAATACCAGAACAGTCGATCTGATAATCAAGAGGGCTACCAATAGGCAAGTAGTGTCTACAGCACAGAGATGCTGGACAAAGGGATGATTCATGTCCCAGGCAGGACAAAGTATGATGGTGAGAGTTTTCATCATGCTACTCAGAATGGCATGGAATTTAAAACTTATAAGTTGTTTATTTCTATAATTTTCCTTTTAATGTTTTCAGACCATGGTTGACTGCAGGTATCTGAAACAGCAGAAAACTAAACATCAGATAAAGGTTGGGTGGGCGGCAGGGGTAGGGGGAACTATTATATTCTAGACAATGAAAATACATAATCTCCACCATAAATAAACAAATCTCTTTCTGGAAAAAGCAGATGGAGCAAACCTGGGTTCCAGTGGCAGCTTGGCTTTTAGTATCTCTGAAAATTCATATATCCTATGAGAAACATATTAAAAACCTAACAGATACATCCATGTTGTGTGGGAAAAATTAAAAATAAAATACAAATTTTAAAAACCTAATATGGTTATTGGGAAGGTTAAATAAGATAAACATACAACAAATAAGATTTTTTAAGTGTTTTATTAAACTATAAAGTAATGACAAGTATTATCAATAATATTTCTATTAAAAAAGCAATTAGAAAACCTATTTTAAAAGTAACCTCAATTATGTTAATATTAATTACATACATGTATATCCTTTACATTATTCCAAGATAAAAATGCTATGTTAAGTAGAACTAATGTTTTCATACAATAAGAAGACACAGAATTCTTCAATAAAAACAGAAAAGGTTAGTAGATGATAAACATATTTTTAGCCTGTAAAAATGAATCTGTTTTTACAAATTCAAGGTTGCTGTAATTAGCTTCTTTGGTAAGAGAACATGAGAACTGTCAAATGGAATGGATTGGTCTCATAATTCTAAGGTAAACAATGGTACCAAGAACTATTTACTGCTATCACAATGTTGTCACATAGTGTACAGAATGTAAATATGTCAAACCCATGGACTTTTCAAAATATAGATTAATTTTGTAATAATTTCCTTCTTTTCATCAGAGATTAGAAAAATTTAAGAATATTTTGCCAAGGTGTAAAGTAAGATTTAAAAAAAAATCAAGTGCCTTGTGGCTTATCACACCCTAGACAGAGTCCGTGTCTAATTGTCTAATATTCTCACTCAAATGAGCACTATTCTGTACATCTCAGCATTCTGCCCCAAATCTACAACCCATAACCGGCCAGACCTTGAAAAATTCTATTCTTGTGAAATATTTAGTCCAAAACATTTTACAAGAAAGTAGGAAGTCTACAAAGAAACAACACTGAACAAGGTGAACCCAAAGGCTCCCATCCCTGGAGATTTCAGTCCTGCTTTTCTTATGGATCAAAATTCTCCATTTTATTTAAATTAATCATTTAAAAAAAACAAAATTTCCAAAATCGATAATCATGCAGTTTATAACACAGTGACATTTCAAAACTTATCCAGTAACCACACATAAAGCACTCATAACATCTCAGCACCTTTTAGGGGAAAAAAAAAAGACAAACCTCTGAACACAGTGATGAAAACAGCTGAGCGAAAAGTACTGAAATGATATATATGTTAACATCAATAACTGAATTGTTGATGAAAGCAAAAGAAATTCTCTCATTGATTGGAAATGCCTGTTAAAGTCAAGCCTTGGTAGCACCAAAGCTGAGAAAAACAAGATAAGTCGCAAGCAAAAGGGAGAGAAGATGACGTTCATGTTTACAGCCCTGGGTTTCAGCTTCCCTTCTTTTTGGCGTTATATATTTCTGTGACTTCCATGGAAGCTCAGTTGTGCATTTAAAGGGATGTTTGTTATATTTTATCCAAAATTTCTAGATGTTTTAAAGTCGTTTTTAGGTTATCTATTCTACCAGAGTGCCAAAACAGCAGATGGAAAAGGGATGCAAAGATGTCAGAGCTTAGCTGCACTGGTTTCCCCTTCCAAATTTAGCACTCCAACCATAATTATCCTGAAGCCTGCGAAAGAGAATAATGAGATAAAGACCGATTCTTGATTAAAGGAGAAAATAAAGATAACAATTATGATAAGCAATAATGATTGTGGTGACGATCAGCAGAGAAAATAGCACAGATAGCATAAAACTGTGAGAAGCAAGACCCACAACTATTGTAACAACTGGTAAATAAAGATAACCTTACTGGAGATGAAGAAAAAACAACTAGAATGGCATTTAACTCAGAAATAAAATTCCCTAGTACCCTGTTTGGTACTTAGCCACGTGGGCACCTCTTGGAATTAAAAAAAAAAAAAAAAAAAACAAAAGATAACAACTCAACTTAGTGTTTGACAACAAACATATGATGTCTGAACAAGTTGGAAGGCAGCAGCTCTTTTGCATTATCTAGACCATATCTAGAGGAGTATGTTCAATTGTGGGTATCTAACTTTTAGGACCAATGACAGAATACAATGTGTCCAGAGAAGAGAGTGCCAAAGAATAAAGGACCTAGAAAAACATCGTGTGAAGAATAAAGGTTATAAGAATGTTTAAACTGGGAGGAAAATGGCACAAGAGAAATATGACATGTCTTCAAATAATTCAGAATACCATTGTTGCTATTCAAAAGAAGAAATCTCCCTCTATTAAACTAGGGACTTCAAGTCTTGGTCTTTACTCATTCTCTCTTCCTTCACTTCATATCAAAGGAAGCACCCTTCTTTTCATTAACATTATTTCTCCACTTGTGCTCTTTATTCTATCACTTTCTGCTGCTTCTTGAATTTTGATCATCTCTGCCTCTTGCATCTTCAAGGCAATCTTTCTCCATAAACATACACACCTTTCCACTATTTAAAAACAAAACAAACAACCAAAGAAACTTCCTGTGAACCTGCTTTCACTTCAAGCTTCTATCCGCTATCTTACTTTTCTTTATTCCACGCTTTATGAAAAGTCATCTTCCCTCTTTTAGGCACAATTTTTGCCTAGTTTTGTTACTGCTATATCCTCTGGCACATAGTAGGCACTCAATAAATATATGATAAATGAATTGATTACATGAAATTGTGCTGTCTTGGCATTCCTCTTTTAACTGCTTCTTTACAGACCTTTTTCCAGAAACTCCCTGAATATTCTTTAATCAGCCTCTTCTGTCTCCCTACATTCTGTTTCTTGTAAGCCCTTCTATCTCATGGCTTCATCTCTTACTCCTCTGAGGCTAGCCTCTTAGAAAGTTAGCCTCATTTAAGGAGCACATCCAAAGAGAGACCTCTCTGACCCTTCCGTCTCAATCACAGCACCCAGTTTGTTTCCATTATAGCACTCACTGCAATTTATCATTTTTATGTTGTTTATGTGCTTATTTTCTGTCATCCCTACTAGTCTATAACTCCATGGGAGCAGGAAACAAATTTTCTTCCTCCTGGAGCATAGTGCCTGGTAGCATGGCATGAGAAGTCAGGAGGGGCTAGGGTATCCTCATAGGGAAGCCAGGGTTCAGTTAAAAGTGAAAGAAAGGGAGTTGCTTGGGTAGTGAGTAAGGTAAGTAAAGGAAGGCCTCACTATTAAGGTGACATTGGAGAAGACACCTGAGGAAAGAAGGGGGAAGAAAGTCATGAGGGTTAGTAAGGCAGAGGCCTGGAGGTAGGAGTGTACATAATGTGTTCCAACAAGAACAACAAGGTCACTGTGGATGAAGCTAAGTGAAGAAGGGCAAAGAAGAGTAGGTGGTAGCTTTAGAGAGACAGTGAAACTAAGTAATATAAAACCCTATCAGACACTATAAGGACTCTGGCTTTTCCTCTGAGTGAAATGGAAAACCAATAGAAGTGTTTTTGAGTAGGAAAATGAAATTACCTGACTGAATGGGATCACTTCTGGCTGTTTGACTGAAAATAGACTGAAGGGAATATGTTATGGATTGAATATCTGTGTGCCCCAAAACTCACATGCTAAGGCCCTAACCTCCAGTGTGACTGTATTTGGATATATGGCCTTTCTGGAAGTAGTTAAGGTTAAATTGGGTCATAAGGGTGTGGCCCTAATCCAATGGAACTGGTGTCCTTATAAGGGAAAGAGGAAACATCAGGGAACTCTCTCTCCATTCACGCACAGAAGAAAGGCCGTGTGAGGATATAACAAGAAGGCAGCCATCTAACAAGCCAGGAAGAAAGCCCTCACTCAGGAATGGAATTGGCCGGAACTTGATCTTGGACTTTGTAGCCTCCAGAATTGTGAGAAAATAAATTTCTGTTGCTTAAGCCACTCAGCCTATAATATTTTGCTGTGGCAACCTAAGCAGACAATACAGAAGCCAAAAAAAAAAAAAAAAAAAACGGAGGAAAACTAGTCAGGAAGCAAGAGATGATTAGGTCTTGGACTATGGTGTTAATCTTGAAGATAATGTAAAGTAGTGAAATTCTGGATACAATTTGAGCACAGAACCAATAGGATTTGCTGAAGAACTGAATGTAAAATCTGAAAGAAACCGTAAAATTCTGGGCCAAACAACTAGAAGGATGGCACTGCCTTTTGACAAAATGGGAAAGACTTGGTGATATGCAAATTTTTGAAGAAAGGGGTACAGATGCTAGATTTTCAGCTTTGGAAATGCTGAGTTTGAGAAGCCTATTAGTCATCTGATAGATATGTCCAGTAGGGAATTACATACACAAATTTAGAGTTAGGGTGGAGTCTGAGATGAAGAAATAGACTTGGTAATTGTCAGATAAAGATGATATTGGAACTCAAGAGATTGGATGAGGTCAATGAGGAAGTAGGTATAGACAGAGATGAAAAGATGTTTGAGTACTAAGCCCTGGGACACTCCGATGCTTAGAGATCAAGAAGATGAGGGCAGTTAACTATGGAATAGGGACACGATAGATTACATTATTGGCCTCTCCTTTTATATGCTCTTTGCCGTATGACTTTGTACTTCTTTCCACTTATATGAGTTGAGTATATTTCTCTTCCTCTTTATTTGAGGCTTGGTTTTGTGACCTGATTTAGCCAATGGATGGTAACCAACATGATGCAAGCAGAGGCCCAAACTGTGCTTGCATGATTGAGCTTTCTCTCTTATGCACAATCAATGCCCCCCTGCCTAGTCCCAGGAGGAAGATAATAGACACGTGCAGCAGAGATTCCCAGGCTAACTTACAGCATCAAACATACTTCCCCCAGCTTCTTCAAGAAGTCACCAGTGAACTAAATGAAAACCAAAAGACAGTCGTATCTCAGAGGTCAAAAGAAAACGGTGGTTCAAAGAAGAGACAGATACTGACTTTGTCAGTGCTGATGATGAATCAAGTAAGAGGAGAAGCAGGAATTGACTGTTGGATCTAAAAGTATGTCAGTCATTAGACAACTTGACAAAGGCAAAAACAAGGACTTTTAAAAGTGAGGGAGTTAGAGTGGCCTCAAGAGAGAATGGAGGAAAGAAATTGGATACAATGAGTAAAAACAAGCTTTTCTAACTACGTTGCTACAAAGGGGTCAGAGAAAGGGGATGGTAAGGAGAAGGAAATGTGAGATCAAGAGAGTTTTTAAAAGATGAGAAATATTACATCTTTGCATCCTTATGGAAATGGTACAGTTGAGAAAGAAAAAACGTATGGTATTAAAGACAGAAAATATTTGTCAGAGTTCCCACGTGGACAAGAAAGGATAGGATCCAATGAACAAGTAGAGAGGAATTAGCCTTAGATACAAACCTAAAAGGTTCATTTAAAGCACCAGGAAGGAAAGTAGACACAGGTACATTGGCAGATGTGGTGGTGGAAATTTGTGATTGCTTGTGGTTTCCTCAGTGAAATAAAAGCAGTATCATGATCAGAGAGGGATGATAGAGAAGGAGGTGTTGAAGTTTTGGAATAGAGATGTCGTGAAATTATCATCTAGGGAAATCAGAGAGTAAATGGATTATAATGGATAATTATCGCCTATGTACATATCTTATTTCTGGTGCCACTATAAGCCTTTGAGAGCAAAAGCTGTATCTTACTTAGTTTTGCATCTTAACAGCTCTTAGCATGGAAACTTGTACTTTTTATTATTAACTTTCTGTAATTTTACTTTCATTTCCTTTAATAGTCACATAAAGTCTAATTGGCTTAAGGTTGTACTAGTTCTTTAACTCTTCAAGTCTTATGAGAGAAACTTATAAGAAACTCACACAATGAAAGCACTAGCATGATATGGCACTATCGCTATCTGGTTACCCAAAATCAAGTTCAAAATTCATAAAAATAATTGCTAACTTCAAGAGAAAACTGCCCATTCAACCCTACTTTCTTAATATCTTACTTTGACTGATTCTCTTTATTAAAAAAATATTTAAAGACTAAAGGGTTTATAAGTAAAGATGATATGAAATTTGCCCAAAGTATTACTTACTATTTTAAATATGTGTTATAATTTAAAATTACTCAGAGAGTAATGATGCAGAAAATAAACTTCTAGAGCAAATATTAACATCAATGCTGCATTTAAAAACATATGTAGGTCAGGTGCAGTGGTTCAAATTTGTAATCCCAGCACTTTGGAAGGCCAAGAAAGGAGGATCACTTGAGCCCAGGAGTTCGAGACCAACCTGGGCAACATAGTGAGACCTTTTCTCTACAAAAACTAAAAAAATTAGCCGAGCACATCAGCACATGCCTATAGTCCCACCTACTCAGGAGGCTGAAGCAGGAGGATCACTTGAGCTTGGGAGTTCTAGGCCGAAGTGAGCATGATTGCACCACTGCCCTCCAGCCTGGGTGGCAGAATAAGACCCTGCCTTTAAAAAAAAAAAAAAAGTAAAATAAAATAAAATCACATGTAACTACTAGGAAAAGACAAGATCCTCAAAAGCCATCTATAAGTTTTAAAGATTTATTCATAATAACTTGAATGTAATTGAAGTCTAAAAGTACAATACTATAATTTACCAAATGGGATTACTTTTAATACTAATTCCCAACAGGTTAGCTAGAGCAGTTTAATGAATATTAAATCTACTGAAACAATTTGAGGCTACTAGCTACATTGTTCACTCTCAGCCAGTGAGAATATCAACAAACCTACTTGATATTCAAAAATTTTGCACTGAGTCTGATGGGAAAAACTTGGTAACAATTAATTTGAGTAATAAAATTAAATATTCACCCCCCCCCAAAAAAAAAGGCAATGAGACCAAAAAAAAAACCAACATATTTTCTATGAACAAAGCAACAATAACAAAAGCAAAATATCAACTAAGGCTAAATATATTATGGAAGATTCATTTCATTGAGATATATTTTAGAAAGATGTTGTCAGTTCTACTTCCTAGAATTCTTAGAATGAGTGTCAATAGAAGAGGTTATAGCAACACAGAAGTTGTCCACCTTACTCAGACATCACCCCGATACTTCTGATTAGGTGTTCAAAGTGATCTAAGCATATTGTCTGCCTTTCTTCTGATATGTGAAGAACAAATCTAAATGTGGTGAGGACCAAGCAGACAATCTAAAGGAATGACAATGGCAATGATATAAAATGGTAGAATGAGGTCGGAGCCTTGGAAAGCATTTACCCCATCTAAAAGCACTCAAATTCAATATTTTAAAATACTCTTTAGCCAAATAATGCACATATGCAAGCTAAAGGCCACCTAAAATTCAAAGTCGTGTTGGACTTTCAAAGGTCCCCTTCAAATGTCACTTCCATCAATGACTTCTCATGTTCTCCCTCTTAAAATCCATATTTTCCTCACCCGTAGATCCACAGCTCTTTGTTTTAGCATTTATTATATGTCATGGATGGGAGTTATTCTTGCAAATTTTTTGTCTCCTCCACTAAGCGTGGGGCAGAGATAGTTTTGGTTTTTTATTCTCCAAAAGCACAAAATACAGTGTTTTGCAGAAAAAAAGGACACATCATATACATTTATAAAATTGAATTTAAACTCTTTCCCTTCTGGTCATGTCATCTAGTACAAAACATGAAAGGATCTTGGTCAGGGATACCAAGAAGCTTACTGACCTCAGTCAGAGGGGAAGTCCTTGGTTATATTGCAGTCTGTGCAATCAAGTTTAAAAATATTACAGAAGTGTGAAAGCAGTACATCCAGATTAGAGAAATTCAACATTTATACAATAAACATCTAGTTTATCATTAAACAACTTTTAGGAAAATAACTTTGTGAGTCACCTACAATAGTAAGCATACCTACTTATTTTCAATACCCCTTTGAGGAGAGAGACTGTTTTTCCTTAATATGACTGTTAGAAAAAATTCTTATGCTTTTTTGAGAGGCTGCCAAAGTTGAATAAATAAGAAATTGAGAAAAGATATTACAAATATCTAAACTACTAAATAATGCAGGCAAAGCTCTAAAGCAAGCTCTGGTTCAGGGTGCTAGCCTTAAAACTGAGATTGGAAGGCCTGAGATTTTTCTAAATTCAATAAAGAAAACTCTGGAAATACAGGATTCAATCTCTGAACAATTCCTAGGAAATATAACCCCATCTGTGAGCACGCATTCCACCTGGAGTGTGTAATTATTTGCAACATTTGCCACATTTAGTCCCTCTGGGTATTCACACCCTTTTACAATTCACGCCCTCTTCTAATACAGAGGTAGACTCTATTTTCCAACTCCTTGAATATGGGTTGCCTTTATGACTTGCTTCAGCCAAGCAAACATGGCAGAAGTGAAGGTGTACTAGTTCCAAGCCTAGGCCTCAAGAAGCCTTGTACAATTCTGTTCTCTCTCTCAGAACCATGCATGCCATGTGAGTAAGCCCAGGCTGACCTGCTGAATCATGACAGAGAAGTGGCAGTCTCACCTATCACCCTAGACAACATCCAGCCAGCCTCTGAAACAGAAACACATAACTGATTTGCAGTTGATTTCACACACAAGAGAACACAGCCAAGACCAGAAGAACCATCAGTTGAGCTTAGACTAAATTGCCAATCACAGAATTATGAGCTAAATAAAGAGTTATTGTGTTAAGCTATTAAGTTTTGGGATAGTTTGTTGCACATCAATGGCTTACTAATAAGGGGAGAAGGTCACAATATGACAGAAAGCAAAAAAGTCTCTGGAAGATAAGAATGCTGCCATTAACTTGGAAGCCAAGAAATAACCATGAAAGGAGGAAAAGGCAAAAAAAAAAAAAAAAAAAAAAAAAGACTAACCCTGGAGTTGGGGCTAACTTAAGACAAGATATCAAAAGTAGGCTGTGGCCAGGCCCAGTAGCCCACACCTATAATCCCAGAACTTGGGGATGCCAAGGTGGAAGGATTGCTTGAGCCCAGGAGTTCAAGACTAGCCTGAGCAACAGAGCAAGACCTCATCTCTACAAAAAATACAAAACTTAGCTGGGTATGGTGGTGTGTACCTGCGGTCCCACCAGCTACTGGAGAGGCTGAGGCAGGAGGATCACTTGAGCCCAGGAGGTGGAGGCTGCAGTGAGCTGAGATCACGCCACCCACCACTGCACTCTAGCCTGGGCAACAGAGCAAGACTCTGTCTGAAAATAATAATAATAATAAAATATACTAAATTAAATTAAACTTTTTAAAGTAGGTTGACCATTCCTTGTGGAGAAACAAAACCTATCCAAATCCTATTCTTCCTACAAAGCTCACCTCAAATCACACCTTTTCCATTTTTTTTTTTCTGAGTGTCCTTAGGCATAGTGATCATTCCTTCATTAGTTATGTATAAACAGTACATTACGGTGGAAAGAGGCCTGGACTTTAATCAGTAAGTCTAAATTCACATCCCGGTTTTATCAACTATGTGTCCTTAGACAAATTTCTTAAATCTTTGAATCTGATTCCTCATCTCTTAACTGAAATTTAATAGTTCTCAATCCCAAAGGACAGTTGTGAGAATTGAATTCTAAATGTGTCAACATGCTAAACACAAAGTACATACTCAACAATGTTAAAGTGAATTTTGTTCCATTCATTCATTAAACTCTGACTGGATTCCTACTGTATGTTAGGCTGTGTGCTAGATATTGGGACAAAGGAAACAATTACTAATGATACCACACACAACTGCCATCTACTAACTTCTCATGTGTATAGCCCTCAAATTAGAATGAGGTTAGAGATTATGCCTTGTAGCTCTTCATATTTCCCAAAAGTAGGTGGCATAGTACCTTGAACTCAGTAGTTACAAAAGTACTTGTGAACAATTTGATTAAAAGATTTCTACATACAGGTTTTCACATTTGAATCCCAAAGCCAAGCAACAGCATCATCACTTTTAAAGCATAGCTAAAAGCACACTCACTTGACAGCTCACATCCATTCCTGCCTCCAGCAGCACCTGCACGACTGCTTTGTGGCCATTGCGCGCAGCAAGGTGAAGTGGCGTGTGCTTGCGAGTGTTGCAGCTCATTAAGTTAGGATGTGCACTGATGATCATTTTTACCACTCTAAGCCGTCCGTAGAGTGCCGCCAAGTCCAAAGGTGTTTCCAGCTTGCTATTTCTAATTGTCGGGTCAGTGAGCTCTTCTAGGAGAACAGCAACTACTTCTGAGTGTCCATATTGAGCTGCACAGTGTAGGGCAGTTTCATTTTCATTGTTCTAAGACAAAGATTTTTAAAAAGGCACATTTTCAGAAATTCAATTTGTTATCAAAATCTTAACACAGTAATTTAAAACCTGCAATGCTTTGAAATGTAAGTTAAGATTTATCCATTTTAACAAGTATGCCTAATGGAATTTTATATTTGATAAAAGTATCTAGGATTCATTGAATCAAAAAAAAATTTTTTATATCACTTTAATCGAAAACAATCCAACATTTCCCTAAATCATATATGCCAACTTCCAAAAATGACAAATGATTTAGCCATGTTTGTCAGAGGCCCTCCTGGGTCCAGAAGGACAGTGATATCTGCATGGTGCATCACATCTTTAGACATTTATTAATAAGAGAGATCAAAACAATTATAACAGACTTTTAATAGACTGGCTTTCCAAAAGACAGATAAGAAGGTAAATTCTTGGTAACAAAAGGTTTATAGAAAGGTTTCCCAAATTAAGTTTCATTTTATTTTCCATGTAAGTACAAATCATTGCTTCCTTTGCAAAGAAAATGAAAAGATTTTGGCCTTAAGATATAAAAGTACCTTTTTGAAATGTTATCATGGGTTGTGAGGATGGACCTAGATCAGTTCCCAGACAAGTTACTAGGAGTATCACAGTACAACATGTGCAGCTTATAAGGGTTCAGTTGAAAATCAATGAGATTTTCCTAGAAATGTATCAAGATTTTTAAAAATGTTAAGATACAGAAAACTGAACCCAGTTGCAAGGCAGAGGGACCCTTCAGACTATTTGAGCAATATAGGTAGATGGTGTATAGGTATGTCAGGAGGTGGAAGGGTCAGGAGAAAAATGAACAAGAAATTTTAGTAACAAAAATGCAATAACCGTAAATGAGGGTTCTGGAAAGAAAGAGCAGCTGCCACCATCAGAGTTATCATCATAGCTAACACTATGTACTAGACATAGTTGCATTTTATATATGTTTACTCATTTAATCCTCATTATGAGATAGATACTATTATCATTATCTCCATTTTACAGATGAGAAAACTGAGGCACTGAATAGTTGAATAACTGGCCTTCCGTTATACAGCCATTTAGTGGTAGGACCGGGATTTGAACACAAGTAGCCAAGACCCAAAGTGGGTGTTCTTAACCATCACACATACCACCTTCCAAAATAGGAACTATTACTACTACTACTTGTTGAGTGCCTAAAAACTATATATATTGTCTCATTTAACTCTTACAACAATTCTCCAAAATTTATATTAAAATTGTCTACTTCATGGACAAGTAAACTAAAATACAAAAAGGTTAAATTACACATCCAAGTAGAATTAAGATATTTTGCAAGCTGGATCTGACAAATCCAAAACCCATGCTCTTTCCACTATACCATGTTGTCTGCCATGTGTTGCTATATTGTCAAAGAAGAGCTGGGAATTAGTGATCTGAAAGCAGAATTTCTAGAGGTTTTGCTCAGAAAAATACCAACCGAGAATAGGGAGTAGCTGTTTAGATAGCTGTTCTGATGAAAATAAAAGGATAAGAAGTGTTCAGACCCAAACAAATCTTAATGTTCTAGAAAGTAACTCAAGTTTGCCCTGGATGATAGAAGAATGCAAGTAAGTTGAGAGTCTAGAGGGAAGATTTGAAAATTTAAAAAGGAGTAGAGTGACAAGGGGAAAACAGCACTAGGAAAGGCTTCTTACTACTTTACCTTGCAAATAAGTATCAAGAGAGAGCATTTGAAGGTCAAACCCACAGGGAAAAATCTACTCTTTCAAGACAATCAATGAAAAGTTAAGACCTGTTAGATGGGGAATCCAGCTGAGGGTACTGTTTCTTCCATCATTTGTCAGGAGTCCTTCTTTACTTGGTTTGAAAGTATTACTATAATCTACTTCTTCATAAACAATGATCACATACAGGTTTAGACTCCCTGGTCTTCTTATCTGTTTTTCTTATCAGGCTTATAAAACAGCCAATCTTATTACTTCACACCATGAAAACATTATACAGATATATACCTCCTGACCAACCCAAATTTCCCCCTGGTCTGAAAGGGATTCAATCTCAGTTTTCAAAATACAGTATCTCTTTGAGAAAAGAGAAAGGCCAGTTATGAAATAATGATTCCTCAAAGGCCTCTCTACTGGTCCAGAGCCCTGAGCCTAGGAAATTACAAGAGCAAAATCGAAAAATTTTCTAGTAACACCAATTAGCACTGTTCAGATCTCAAGGGAAAATATATCAATCATTCAAGACCTACTCAGGATAAAAAGTTCACAGATTTTATCCATGATCATCACATACTTGGATCGTCACCTCAGTGGACGCCACAACGGTGGTACTTTTACGAGAGCATGATTGTGTATTTGTGTATGCTCACAAGTGATCTAAAATAATCTAATTTGAAATAAATAGGCTGTGATGAGGCACTGATTAATAATTCCTAGTATGGCTATGCAGAATATTCTTAAAAGTTTTTTAATTCCTTCTTTTTTACCAAATGGGTATTCTCTGAAACATTAGGACCCTTCCAGATAATGGATGATAGAACAAAACTGGCTAACAAAAGCCATTTACCAAAAACTCTTGGTTCAGAGTAAAACATCTAACAAGAGTTGGATTCGAGTTTCGGTGAATGGCAAAGGCAATGTGTTTTTCAGATAAGGCCCCTCTGGGTTTTGCCCTAATGTTAAAATAAAGAAAAAAAAAAAGAGGAAGAGAAGGTAAAGGGAAGAAAGGATTAATGAAATTTAAAGAAATTGAAAATTTTCAATTTAAAGGAAATTTAAATTGCAAAAAGGAAATAATCAGATGATAAAAGAGAAGGATGTGGCAATTATAAAAACCATAATCCGGGTAGAGTCCACTTTGTTTAGAATGGTGAACAAGACCTAGGTTGAAGTGTTACCATGTAAATTACTTCATCTCTCCAAACCTATCTTATCTGTATAATGAGAATATTATTTTCCCTATAAACCTTATAATATAGTTTATAAACCAAAAGAGATAACATATTTTTAAAATGCATTGTAAACTTTAAATATTAAAATGTAGAATAGAATTATTTTTAAAGAAAGCTGTATTAGAAACCAAAGATAACTTTCAGAAATCAGAATGAAGCCCTGACTATAATGCATAATTTTAACATAACATAAATGTATTACTGGTTGAGAGCTTAGGCTTTGGATCAGAAAAACCTGCGTTCAAACACTGGCTGCATTTCTTAGTAGCTGTGATGTTACGGTCAATCTACTCTATCTCTCTAAGGCTGTAACTCCATATATATAGTAGCAACAGTAATCTAGGGCTTAGTAAGATAACGGGGATGAAGTATTTTGCACAATGCCTGGCACACAGTAAACAATCCATTAAGTGATAGGATTTAGGATGACAATACCAATGCGCTGTTGTGTAAAAGGCTCTGGAGTCAAAGTCCTGAGTCTCAGTCTCAGTTTCAGTCACTCAGTAACACGTGGCCTTCGACAAGTTGTTTAGTTTTACAGAGCATGATTTCTCAACTATAAAATGCGAGTGATATTATCAATTCAGAGGATTATTGTGAGAATTCATTAAATCGTATTTTTGAGGTGAAAGTGTTTAGAACAGTGCCCGCTTTACCTTATGTCTCAATAAATGCTAATTACCATTTTTATTTCCTTTATTGTTTAAATACATAAAAGTTTATAATTAACAAGAAGATTCTGTCCTATTCAGAAGGAAAAAAGAAAGCTAAAATTAAAAGTTATCTATAAAAATAAAAATCCTACATCAAAAAATTTAGGAGAAATGGCATAGAATGGGAAAACTATGATCAGCATCAAAAGAGTATACATATAACAATGAAAAAATACTAAAATTATGGTATTAAAAATCGTAAGAAAGTTGCAACTTCTTGCCAATAGAAACCGCAACACAAAGCAACAGAGGTGAACAAAGGACTTTGAATATGGTCTCCTTAAAAAGACACTTTTTGTAATTTAATTGATCTATTCAACATTACCAAAAACAAGTATTTCTCTTTAAAACATATAGCAACTTTTCACTTTCAAATGTAAGTGAATACTATATGTTATTTCTTATTTTCATGTCATTTAAAAACATCTTGTTTGTAAAAACTAACATCCTCTTGTTTAACCTTGGATTGTTTTTCCATTTTATTATTTCAGGTTTGCTTTGCAGTATTCAGACAATTTTAAGAATAACCACCAGATGGCTCATCTCATAAATGATCTAACTGTTGGTTTTCTGTGGAAGAGAAGAGCATTGTCATAAATTTCCTTTTAGCATGATATGATGATAAAGATAGCCATATCTGTCATGTTTTAAAGACTGGGTGCATTCTTATTAAAATTTCTGCATTTTTGTAACCTGTAAACATGGAAATTTTTATTGTGATAAATATTAATAAGATACTTTTCCAATTAATAAAATGTTTTCCTGATTAGTCCTTTCAACAACTGCATATATATTTTCATTGAAAAAATATGTATTTTTCTTCCCTTTGCTATTTACAGCAATTGTTACTTTTTATCCTTCAGTCTGAATTTCAAAGTCCGGCAAAGTCTGCATCCATTTGAACAATATGCTAATTGTGCTTTATTAGATATGCTTGCCCTAAAGTAACCTACTTGCATTGATATTGGACAACTGCCAACCTGCAGCTTAATGCCGTGATTGTAATTCAATTGTTGGACTGTCTGCTGGTTTTCAAATATAGTTTTACAAAATGGGAACAGTAGGGGGCATGCAGAGATCAACATGTTTGTTATCATACTGTATTAGGGGACCATATTTTACTTTCTAGAATCTGTGGTCCTATCTGTTTAGAATACTGACACTGGTTTTCTTTTTAAAATATGTCCATTATGTGTAATATAGATATTGTGTACTTACAAATACATTAACTGTCAGAATCATACTGCTGCTGTGTTTTATTCAACTTATTCTGGGCATATGTGTTTGTGTTTGTATATATATATATCAAAAAATTTTAACTTAATATGTGACAAGCAACTGTATATGCTATATTTCACATTTTGATTCACAAGAGTACTTAACCATGAAAGTGCTAAGTAAATGGTAAAGCATTATGCAAATGATAGGCATATCATTGTTTTAGCATTCAAAATTGTATTAAGAAACATTGTAATTCTCATTACACATATGAATTCTGTTCTATCTTTAAATATTCAATGGCTATAAAATGGCTGATTATATAAGACAGGCAAAAATATTTCAGCTACTTCCTTTATGTAGGATTTTCCCATTAACAAAGTATCTTTACAAATGCCCAACTTAGTCCCTGCATATCATATCCAAACACCAAAGAATTTTTCAAATTTCTCCTTTTAGGAAATTCAGCAATGGAAAGGCCTTTGGGCAAGGTAAAGATAAAAAAATCACATTTTCAATATGGCTTTGCCTTGTAAAACTAGAAAAATTACATCATGAGCAAACATTTGGCAAGTGCACCTGTTCATTGACCCTGGAATGTGATGGTCCATGATGAATAAGAATCTTCACAATTTCCACATCTCCTTTCCAGGCAGCCAGGTGAATAGGAAAATACCCTTTGTTGTCTGCTACATTTGTTGATGCCTCATACTGAAGTAGTTTGAGAACTATGTCCCTAAAAAGGAAAAAACAACAACAACAAAATAGGCTGAGCAAGACAAACTGTATTAAATAGGTAATTTTAAAAGAATACTAGATGCTGGGTGGGAATTTAGAGTAATCATTCAAGGTACTAAGATATAAAGTTGGGTTTCAAAGTTTTTGCCTACTCAACATTTGGCTATTTTACTTACCTGGAAAACCATCACCCCATGCCACACACACACACACACACACACACACACACACACACACACACACACAGAGAGAGAGAGAGAGAGAAAGAGAGCGAGAGCACACATTGACTAACCAATTAAACTACTTAATAGAATTCATATAAGCAAAACTTAACTTATTTCATTAATTAGATGAGCTAAGTAAAATGAAGAGGATACCAACTCCCATTTTTTTTTTTAAAAAAAGAGCTCTTTCCAGATAGCCCATATCTGAGATTTAGTTTGAAGGAAAAGTTGAAGTTACAAGTATATTCCTTGTTTACACACACACAAAAAGTTATCATAATACCAAGGAGGCATTTATAAAATTTACACATCATTCCTACAGATAATTGGAATAAGAGATTTAAGGGGTATGTAAAAGAGAAAGAAAGTGCAGTATGTAAGGGACCCTTGACAAGCTAACTGTAGTACTAGCCCAGGGTTAAAAAATAATAATAAAAAAATTTTAATAACTTCTCAGTGATGGCACACAACACACTTTGAGTATTCCTTGTTCCTACTTCTGTATTCCTTCACCTTTCTTCTCCAAGCATAAAAAATTATTTCAAAAGGGAAACTCATTTAAAAGACAAGTTCCACCATTAATGCAATTTCAACACATATTCAATATATCCTACCTCAAAAATTTTGAACTTAATCCCCACCAGGTTTTCAAAGTAAAAATCCTGACCTGCATTACTCAACCTTAGAAAGAATTAATTAATAATTATTAGCATAAATTATATCAAAATATATGTCAACAATCAAAAGCAGTAATTCTAAACAAAACTGTATTTTCATTTGGATGCATTTAAGAAGCAAATTCTATTAACTCACTAAATGAAATGCTAGTCAGACACACATAAATAAAAATATATATATAATTACAATATATAATAAAGTTGTTTCTTACATACAACAAATCACTAATGGGGAGGGTGAACATAACAGATTTACATTTAAACATTTCATAAAATCAGACTCTAGATGCAAGTAACAAATGAAAACATTTGGAGGAAATTTTAATAGAAGGAAGATTAGAATTTTGATAGCTCACAAGAAAAACAGATATGATATGATACAAAATTATGGTAAATGGTAAAACATACTGTCCAGAATGTGTCCTAAAGTCACAACATTTGACTTAATTGCTAAATGTAAGAAATCATGATTTTAAAAAAACAAGAATATGTTGTAGAAATATTTAGAATCCAAGGAGTCCTAAATTGTCTAATGATATAATTTCTGAGAAATTAAGAATTAAATTTTAACATTTCTCTTTGAAAAACCAGCATTATTTTACGAAATCTGAATTTAGAAGACTTGGATTTGTGTCCCAGCTATGCAAACTACCTGAGGCTGTGATTCCGGAGAAATGATAATCACACACCACATAATGATAATTCGATCAACAACAGACCATCCGCATATATAATGGTTGTTCAAAAAGATTATCATACCTCATTTTTACTGTACCTTTTCTATGTTTTGATATGTTTAGATACATAAATACTTTCTGTATCTATTGTGTTAAAATTGCCTACAGTATTCAGTACAGTAACATACTGTGCAGGCATGTAACTCGGGAGCAACGGGTCATACCATGTAGCCTAGGTGTGTGACAGGCTATATCACTTAGATTTGTGTAAGTGCACTCTATGATGTTCACACAATGATGAAATCACGTAATTAGACATTTCTCAGAATGTATCCCTGTCATTAAGAAACACATGACTGTACTTAGTCTCATTTTCTTTTTCTTCAGGAGATACTATAATGATAATGTCTACTCAAAACTGGTAATAGCATTAAATAAGATCATAAAAAAGAATTCACTCAATAAATAGTAAAGCACTATACCAATAATAGCACTTGTCCCAAGTAAAAATAAAATACTTTAGAAGTGAAATGAAATGCTTATAGAAAGTCACCTTCGAAAAACAGAATCAGAAAATCAGAAGGAAACTTAAAGGTTATCCAGTTCACACGCTTCTCCCCATTTCCCTGCCAAGCAAGGGTTGTTATATAGGGTCTTCCATTCTGACATAAATAAATACATAACTTCAGTGAGGTAATGAGAATTCAATACCTATGAATAACAAAAGCAGATAAGGAAAGATCTGAAGTCCCAACTCTCTACTATTTACAAACCTGGTTACCTTGAGGAAATTAAGTAACCTCTGTCTCTCTTTCAGATATTGTGAAAATAGAATTTAGAGATTACATCTTGGTGCTAGTTTCAAACAGTTATGGTGTGAATCAAATGAGAAACAGATGTAATTGTAAAATTATATATACAATCAAAAGTTGTTCTCAAGGCAGATTGTTGCAATGTTAAACAATTCCAGTGATTGCTTTTTAAATAAAATATTTCAGCATTTAAAAGGCAAAATAATAGCAAAAGAAGTTAGTCAAATTAAATACCTGGATCTAAAATGTAGAATTTAGCCTACTACAAAATAGACTTCTCCAAGTTACTGTCAAAGACAACTGTGAGAAGAGAAAAATTTCATTTCTTAATACCTAAGGAAATAAAAAATATATTCTGAAACAACTTCTCCTATAAAGCATTTCCTTTCAAGGGGTAAAGACGAAAAAAAGATTGATGGGATCATCAATTCTATTTCCTTTTACTCTTGCTCCAATCACTTAGAATTTCATTTGTTCTTTGGCTCAAATTTTACTGACATTTTCTAATAATGTAAGTGATATACATTCATTCTTCATTTATCAGGAAGATTTATGACAAGTGAAAAAACGTCTATTTTGAAAACTGACTTACTAATCATTTGTATTTTCTAGTATTACCACCATCTAATATCTAAATCAGAAAAGAATAATCTGTAAGTTTGTAAAATTGCCTTTGGAAAACACTAAGATCCTAACTACACATTATTTACACATTATTTTTAAGTTTTGAAAAATGTATTTATTTTAATAAATAAATATTTTGTTAAATGTGCTTATTTTTTTCTTTTTTAATTTTATTTCAATAGTTTTTGGGACACAGGTGGTTTTTGGTTCCATGGATGGGTAACACTTTAGTGGTAAATTCTGAGATTTTAGTGCACTCATCATCCAAGTAGTGCACAATGTTTCCAGCGTGTTGTGTTTTATCCTTCACTCCCCTCCAAACCTCCCTCCACCAGTCCCCACAGTCCATTATATCACTCTGTATGTTTTGGCATCCACATAGCTTAGCTCCCACTTAGAAGTGAGAACGCATGGTATTTGGTTTTCCATTCCCTAGTCACTTCACTTAGAATAACGGCTTCCAGTTCCATCCAAGTTGCCACAAAAGACATTATTTCCTTCTTTTTATGGCTGAGTAGTATTCCATGGTGTATATATATACCACATTTTATTTATCCACTCATTGGCACTTAGGTTGGTTCCATATCCTTGCAAATGCAAATTGTGCTACTATACACATGTGTGCATGTGTCTTTTTCATATAATGACTTCTTTTCCTTCGGGTAGATACCCAGTAGTGGGACTGACGGATCTAATGATAGATCTGCTTTTAGTTCTTTAAGGAATCTCCATACTGTTTTCTATAGCAGTTGTGCTAAGTTACAGTCCCACCAGCAGCGTAAAAGTGTTCCCTTTTCACCACATTCCCACCAACTTCTATTGTTTTCTTTTTTTACTTTTTAATTATGGCCATTCTTGCAGGAGTAAAGTGGTAGCTCATTGTGGTTTTAATTTTTATTTCCCTGATGATTAGTGACGTTGAGCACTGTTTCACATGTTTGTTGGCTGTCTGCATATCTTCTTTTGAGAAATGTCTATTCATCCCCTTTGCCTACTTTTTGATGGGATTATTTGTTTTTTTTCTTGCTTATTTGTTTAAGTTCTTTGTAGATTCTGGATACTAGCCCTAATTTGCAAATATTTTCTCCCACTCTGTGGGTTGTCTGTTTACTCTGCTGATTATTTCTTTTGCTGTGCAGAAGCTTTTTGGTTTAATTAGGTCCCATTTATTTATTTTCGTTTTTGTTTAAATGTGCTTATTTTAAAATTAAAATTAAAATTAAAATTTATTTTCAAATTTTTGTTTAAATCGAGCTTTACATCTTATTCAAAGATACCAGCTAATGAATTGGTTGAGCTCAGATTTCTAGTGTTAAAACATATTTGTGAAATATAAAGTTGTATCCCTGATCAAATAAGTATCTGTCAGTTTTACTAAGTTATAAGTAGAATAAAGTGTTAATCAGCAAATTATGATTAATCATTCTTATGATATATCCATATATATCCAAAGTAATATGAACTAAATAGGCCATTTTCATCCAGGCTCATTAGAACAATTTAAATTTCATATATAATATCTAAATTAGAAGAGCAGTTAATATAGTGTAGTACCAACTTAGTATTTTTATTGATACATAATAGTTGTATATATTTTGGGGATGCATGTAATATTTTTATATATGCATACAATGTGTAATGACTAAATCAGGATAATTGGGGTATCCATTACCTCAAAGGTTTATCTTTTTTTTGTGTTGGGAACATCACAATTCCTCTCTTCTAGCTATTTTGAACTATACAATATTGGTAACTTTAGTCAGTCTACTGTACTATCAAACACTAGATCTTATTCCTTCTAACTGTATTTTTGTATTTTAATCAAATCTCTTCTCCCCCCCCCCTTTCCTTCAAAGCCTCCTATAAATACCAATTAACTTTCTACTTCCATGAGATCCCCTTTTTTTTAGCTCCCACATATGAGTGAGAGCATGTGATGTCTGTCTTCCTGTGCCTGGCTCATTTCACTTTACAAAATGATCTCATGTCCATCCATGTTGCTGCAAGTGACAGGATTTCATTCTTTTTTATGGTTGAATAATATTCTATTGTGTATATGTGCCACATTTACTTTATCTGTTCACTTGTTAATAAGTAGGTTGATCCCATATCTTAGCTATTGGGAATAGTGCTGCAATAAACTGGGGAATGCAGATATCACTTTGATACCCTGATTTCCTTTTTTTTTTTGGATATGTACCCAGCAGGGGCATTGTGAAATCATATAGTAATTCTATTTTTAGTTTTTTAAGGAACCTCCATACTTGTCGTCCATTGTCATTGTACTAATTTACATTCCCATCAATGGTGTACCTGCATTCCCCTTCCTCTGCATCCTTGCCAGTAGCTATTATATTTGTCTTTTCAGTAAAAATCGTTTTAACTGAGGTGAGATGATACTGTGATTTTGATTTGCATTTCCCTGATGATTAGTGAGGTTAAGCATTTTTTCATATGCCTGTTGGTCATTTGTAAGTCTTCTTTCGAGAAATGTCTATAATCGTTTGCCCATTTTTAATGAAATTATTTGGTTTTTTGCTATTGGGTTTTTTAGTTCCTTATATGTTCTGGCTATTAATCTGTTGCTAGATAGATAGTCTGCAAATATTTTTTTCCCATTCTGTCAGTTGTTGAAGCTGGGAAAACTGGATAACCATATTCAGCAGAATGAAACTAGACCTCTGTGTCTCAACAAATACAAAAATTCAGTGAAAATGGATTAAATATTTACATCTAAGACCTAAAACTATGAAACTAGTAGGGGAAAACACCTCAGGACATTGGTCTGGACAAATAATATTTGGGTAAGACCTCAAAAACATAGGCAACAAATGCAAAAATAGACAAATGGGATTACATCAAGCTTAAAAGCTTCTACACAGTATTTCTTTAAATATTATTTAGGTTGAGCCTTATAGCTTACTTTAAGGTATCCACAAAGGAACACATCGCCTGTGCTTGGTCAACTGGCATGAAATATTCAGTCATTGATTGATGAGCATTTGGGTTGGTTCCACGATTTTGCAGCTGTGAATTCTGCTGCTATAAACATGCGTGTTCAAGTACATTTACTAATGTAACCAAATATCACCTGGACCACAATAACTTATTGAAAAATTAATGTTAAAAAATTCATTGGGACTGTGAAAAAAGAAATATTAAGTTACATTGCTAATCAATATCTGTAAAATAGCAAGCAGCAAAATAATCCCTATGTCTTAAATGTAAAGTAGCATTTTCTGATATCCAGCATTTGACAAATAACAAATACTCTAAAATCCTAAAGCAAATGTGGTTGACAAGAAAATAGAAAAAATATTTTGGAAAATGGAAATAGAAATGGAAAAATACTTTCCATTTCCCAAAAACAAAGTAAAACATCAAATTAAATTTAATAATATCCAATGTAAATAGCTGCAATATTTTGCAGCTTTAAGCTAATACATGTAAGTTCAGTTAAAAACAGGAATTCTAGAAGTATTGACTTTTGCTGCTATATTTAATTCACATCCATTTTCTGAAAGATATAAATACACATCTGATTAATAAAAAATGTATTTCGGTAAGTTCAGCATATGCTCTGAGCAAAATTAAATAAATTGGGAAGAGTCAACCTTCAAATTTCTTTGCCTCAACAGCAAGATTCCCTGTAATTAAATCACAACCAAAGATGTTTATTTCATACCATCCTCTCTTGCTTGTTGATTGAGTCCAAAGAATTTCAAAATAAATGCAAATCATCTTCATATGGATGCAGAATTAACATCTAATGAAACTCTCAAATTTAATAAGGTCCTTTTGATTTCAGATTTTCTTGACACTTTTACTTCTCTTTAATGGGAATAAAGTTGCAGATGTGTTCAAGATGGTCAAAAGATTTCAGGACAATACGTCCCATTTTCTAACTGAAGTTTCTTTACATGTTGAATTCACTCTCATAGATTTCTAGATTACAGAGTGAATAAAGGCAAATTTTAAGTAGTCTGTATCCTTATCCAGGAAAAAAAGCAAGATGACTAAAGATGTTTCTAGTTATTCAAAGAGCAACTTCAGAGACCAGATTATACAATTTTTAGAGGAGGTATGCCTCTTTTATTAGAAAACCTAAGAAAGATCAAATCATACAGATAGCTTATTATATGGATTCTAGATCCAATTTGATACGCAATCTGGATTACAGATAATGAGATCTAGCATGCATTAAATACTTTAAAAGGTAGAAGAATAGAAAATATCTTATGTGTATATAAAACAATATACATATTTCAGAAATACAATAACGATCTGCTGATATTTTTCAAAACAGCATGCAAGTGTCACAATATACCAAATATAGTTTAATAACATTAAACTTAAGAAGAAAATAAGGAACTATTTGTTAAGTAGAGAAGAAAAATTGAATTGAAATATGAGTATACAGGTTTAATATAACCTCACAGGGAAAGATAAGATTATTACTAAAAATAATGGATGAAAAGAAGAGAGGAGAAAAGTCAGAAAGAAGGAAAAGTAAAGGAAAAAGGAATGAGGGGACTAAGGAAAGCAGAGGAGAACAAGAAAAAAAGGGATGAGAAGAAGTGGGAGGCAGGGAAGGAAGGTAGAGAGGAAGGCAGGTAGTCAGGCCAGCCAATTGCTTTTCAGAGGAGAATTAAGGGATTTGAATTTGCAGTAGAAATACATGTGACAATGAATCCTCCATATTTTAAAAAGAGAAAAAGATACAAAGAAATAGCTCTCTACTCTATCTATGGAAATAATTTATAATACTTGCAGTAAATTTTG
Source organism: Homo sapiens (assembly GCF_000001405.40). Classification (NCBI taxonomy): domain Eukaryota; kingdom Metazoa; phylum Chordata; class Mammalia; order Primates; family Hominidae; genus Homo; species Homo sapiens. Next base: position 99,820,110 of record NC_000012.12, read on the forward strand.
TTTTATTAACCATGATTTTTTCCTATCATTTGATGGTAATAATTTTCTAATCTGTGATTACAAATAACCCAAGAAATCACCAGTAGAGTACATTTTCCATTGTGTCCTGATCTGGCTAATTGAAGATGAATATGAAATAATGCATTTCAGGTACAAAATGCTGCTTCATTTGTGGATTAACTAGCATTGATAAACAATGGCTCCCAATGAAAATGTACAAAATTGGGGAAACTGGTTTAATTTTCAGTATGAAGGCTTTAGATTTTATGTTGGGGGTAGGGGGACAGTTTGTGTTCAAAGCAAAAGAATAAACTATATGATCCCGAAACATTACTGCTGGCTTTATGATTCTATGAACTTTAGCCTACCAATTATAATGTTTATGGAAAAAATCTAGAGCAGATGGATACAACAACAGCGACAAACATGGAAATGATGTGTTTCTGTGCAGACTGCTAAGGCTTGCTTGGGAAGAATACAATATAATCATTGTTAGTTACCTCTGCTAAGTGAGAATGCAAATAAAAGAAATAACCTTCTTCTCTGGCTCTGAGATACAGTCTATGACATTATTTTCTCCCTCAAATATCTTTTAAGCCAATATTAAAATTAGCATTCCATGTAAACATATGACAAATGATTATGGGAGGCAGGCCAGAAATATATAATGTGACAGAGAAGAGCCAGGGAGAGTTTAACAACAAAGGGGAGATAATGCAGAGTACTGGTAAAAGCATAGACTTAGAACCAGAACACTTAAGCTCTAGACACAACCCCACTTTAATATCTATGTGGCCATTAAGTCACTTAACTAAATGGGCATTGTTTCTCCATCTATAAAATGAGGGAGCTGAGGGGTGTCAGGTAGAAAAAGTGATCTCTAACTGTACAAGTTCATAGATTATTTAAACTTGCAAAATCAAGAAACATACACTCTATATGAAATTCCCAATTTCAGAACTGTAGCATCATAGTGCATAACTGAGCCATAAATAATACCAACACAGTGTATCATTCAATGTTATCATTGTAAGAAACAATGGAGAATATCAAGCCAATCTATTCAAGCTATTGAACTGAGGCCTACAGATGTTAAGTAAATGGTTCAAGGTCACACAACTAGCAGAGATGGGGAGATGGGGTTAGAATCTTCCTGCTTTTTCCAATGCCTATAGGATGACACTGAAAATTAAAAAGAAAAGATAAATGAGATCTTTCAGACAAAAGCACAGACATATAATTCCCACAGACTATCTGTAATTAAAGGGATCTTTAAAAATAGCTAATCAAATTATCTGTTTGTGAGAATCTTAATGATTGCTATTCAATTTGCTTAAATTATCTTTATTTTCTAAATCACCAAAAAAAAAAAAAATTATGCCATGGGCCATAGAAAAACATATCTCAACAGTTAGAACTTCATAGACTGTCATGTATAAATCAGCATTTACTAAATACTTCACTGAAAATGAAGGAGGGATATGAATGCTAATCCATTTTGGGACAATATTACTTTAAGAAGTGCTTACCTACCAATGCCAATCTGAGAAAGAACAAGAAAAGTAGTATGCCTCAAATGAAAGGTCAGGCCCAAGATATCCTGCCCATTAGATGTAATAGAGTTTATCTTCCCAATTAGAACTAAAAAATATGATAGTAGCCTGAATCCATAATTCAGATAGCCAAGAAGCCATCAGGATTATATTACTTGGGCTGATTTGTCTTTGTTCCTGGTGACTCAGGTAAAAAAAGAATAACAACATTCTCCTTTAAAATATTTAGATATCTGGACATACTTTCCATTCTATAAAGGAAGAGAAAAAATTAGAAGATATGGCAAAATATTTCTAAATGAGATGATATAAGACAATATAGAATAGGAACTGAATAAAAATAAATACAATTTGGGAATTCCAATTCTAAAAATCTAAATAATGAAACAAAGTTTATAATAGTTTATGTAACTCAAATGATTCTCTAAACAGGCTGATGGCATTAAATTTATACATTTTAAGAGAAAAATGTCAGTGATCAATAATGACAAAAAAAATGTCTTGCATTAAGAGCTTTATGACCACCAAACCTAAGATTAAGTATGAAGAAGACCCTTGAGTCACCATTCACAGAATAAAAGAAATGTTAGGTGAAAAAACAAAAGGTAACTACCATTTCTACTTTTTAAAAAATAATTTCAACTTTTATTTTAGATTCAGGGGACACATGTGCAACTTTTATTTTAGATTCAGGGGATATATTGTATGATGCTGAGGTTTGGGATACAATTTATCCCATCACCTTGATACTGAGGATAGTACCCAATAGTTTTTCAACCCTCCCTACCCCCTCTAGTGGTCTCCAGTTTCTATCATTGCCATCTTTATGTCCACAAGTAGCCAGTATTAAGTTCCCACTTATAAGTGAGAACATGCAGTATTTGATTTGCTGTTCTTCCATTAATTCACTTAGAATAATAGCTTCTAGCTGCATCTGTTGTTGCAAAGGACACAATTTCATTCTTTTCATAGCTGCATAGTATTCCATGGTGCATATGTACTACATTTTCTTTATCCAATCCACCACTGATTGGCACTTCAATTGATTCCATGTCTTTGCTATTGTGAATAGTGCTGCAATGAGCATGCAGGTGCTTGTGTCTTTTTGATAGAACAATTTACTTTCTTTTGGATTTATACCCTGTAATGGGAATGCTGGGTAGAATGGTAGTTCTGTTTTAAGTTCTTTGAGAAATCTCCAAACTGCTTTCCACAGAGACTGAACTAATTTTTACATTCCCACCAACAGTGAATAAGCACTCTCTTCACTCTATAAAAGATGCCAACATTTGTCATTTTTTGACTTTTTAATAATAGCCATTCTGACTGGTGTGAAATGGTTTCTCTGTGGTTTTGATTTGCATTTCTCTGACGATTAGTGATGTTGAGCATTTTTTCATACACTTGTTGGCCACTTGTATATCTTCTTTTAAGAAGTGTCTGTTCACGTCTTCTGAGTACTTTTTAATGGGATTATTTGGTTTTTGCTTGTTGAATTCTTTAAATTCCTTATAGATTCTGAATATTTGGCCTTTGGTAGATGCATAGTTTATGAATATTTTCTCCCATTCTATAGTTTGTTTATTGATAGTTTCTCTTGCTGTGCAGAAGTGCTTTAGTTTAATGAAATTAGGTCCCACTTGTCAATTTTATCTATTTATTTATTTATTTTTGAGACAGTCACCCAGGCTGGAGTGCAGTCATGAGATCTCTGCTCGCTGCAACCTCTGCCTCCAGGGTTCAAGCGATTCTCCTGCCTCAGCCTCCTGAGTAGCTGGGATTACAGGCACATATCATCGTGCCCAGCTAATTTTTGTAATTTTAGTAGAGACAGGGTTTTGCCACATTGGTCAGGCTGGTCTCAAACTTCTGGCCTCAAGCTATCCACCTGCTTCGGCCTCCCAAAGTGCTGGGATTACAGGCATGAGCCACTGCACCTGGCCTCAATGTTTCTTTCTGTTGCAATTGCTTTTGAAGTCTCTATCGTGAAGTATTTGCCCAGTTCTATGTCCAGAATGGTGTTTCCAAGGTTTTCCTCTAAGATTCTTATAGTTTGAGATCTTACATTTAAATCTTCAATCTACCTTGAGATAATTTTTGTATATGGTGAAAGGTTAAGGTCCAGTTCCAGTCTTCTGCATATGGTTATCCAGCTATCCTAGCACTATTTATTGAAGAGGGAGTCCTTTCTCCATTGCTTATTTGTTATCAATTTTGTTGAATACCAGATGGCTATAGGTGTATGGCTTTATTTCTGGGTTCTCTAACCTGTTTATTGGTCTATGTGTCTGTTTTTGTACCAGTACCATGCTGTTTTAGTTAATACTGTAGCCTTATGGAATAGTTTGAAATCTGCTATCATGATGCCTCTGGCTTTGCTCTTTTTGCTTAGGATTGCTTTGGCTATTTGAGCTCTTTTTTTAAATTCAAAATGAATTTTAGAATAGTTTTTTCCTAGTTCTGTGAAAAATGACATTAGTAATTTGATAGGAATAGTACGGAATCTGTAGATTGTAACTAGCACTTTTAAAGCAGTAATTACCACATCTAAAAGACTAAAGTGAGGGCCAGGCGTGGTAGCTCACAATCGGCACTTTGGGAGGCCAAGGCGGGCAGATCACGAGGTCAGGAGTTGAAGACCAGCCTGATCAACATGGTGAAACCCCGTCTCTACTAAAAATACAAAAATTGGCCAGGCGTGGTGGTGGGCATCTGTAATCCTAGCTACTCAGGAGGCAGAGGCAGGAGAATAACTTGAATCCAGGAGGCGGAGGTTGCAGTGAGCCACGATTGTGCCACTGCACTCCAGCCTGGGCGAAGGAGTGAGACTCTGTCTCAAAAAAAAAAAAAAAGTGAAATGAAATGATACAGATCTGGGAAAACTAACTTGGATCATTCACACAAAGGGAAAACAGAGACGAGGGGGAGATAAAGGAAGAGGGTCATTTTTTTTCTGTAGGGGAGGACAGAACATCTGAATCATTTGGAGGACTCATCACACTTTAACTCTGTCACTAAACCATTAGGATACCTAGCTAAAATACTGGAAATAGAGATTGTTACGGCTACACACTCTTGCACTCTCCATAACATATACTATTACATTATTTGAAACAGTTTTACTTATTAAAAAAATTTAGGGTTGGCAAATCTAAAACTAGAAAGACAATCATGAATGACAAAGATAAAACATTTTAGCTAAATAAGGATTCTGAAGTGGTTCATATAAGTGACCAGGGCTCAGAATAGTGGGAGTCATGCTAAGTTTACACTCCTAGTAAACACTCCTATGTTGGGTGAATACAAGGAGACACCAAAAAAGGTAAAGGGGTGTTATCAAGTGGTTTTATCCCATTCTCTCCCCCAAAGATACACATGACTAGCATGGTCCTGTCAATTTTTCCATTCTCCCAGTGTGATAGGTTGAGTATTTTAGAGCATTTCTTTCAGCTTACACTCTGCACGCAATTATACTCAGCAACATTCCTACCAAGTCTAACTTGTCAGTGTTGTCACCTGGTCCCTTTCCAAATTCACCTAAGCCCATTGGACTCACAGAGACATGAGAAAGGTATCGTCAAGACATAATTAACTTCATCACATGTAACTAAATACACACGATTCCGTCCAAATAAGTGGCACTTACTTATGTCCATTTAAGGCTGCGTGGTGTAAAGCAGTGTAACCCGAACTGTCTGTGCAGTTCACATTGGGGCCTCGCCAGATGCTGCAAATAAAGCACAAGCGCAGAGTTAACAGTGAAGCCAGATCTTGCCTTGAAAAACAAAAAGAAGGCTGGTAGCCCCACAGTCAGCAGCAGGTTGTAGATAAAAATTTTAGCCATGTGGAAAATGATTGCCATCTTCTATGAATTCCCCTCAGAACATCAACTTCATTTATTTGATAAAAGGAAACTAATAGAGAATGCAACTATTAATATCTTCAGAAATTATTAACAAATGTGTGTCCATGGTCGTGCACTGAAGTTTGGATCCAAAAATTCCCTATTACTTTCTATCGTTACTTAAATATTAGAAGCAACTAACATTCAGCTACTATATTCCATACCAAAGAATAAAGATTTATGAGACCTGCCTCATGCCTGTTAACACACTCCTTCTGAGGTGCCGGTGATTTATATAAGTTATAAGATATTTTTGCATTGTGGGAAGAATATAAAGTCTTTTTGCTCTTCAATTGCAACCAGGAAAATGTAATCAATATTTCATACTTGAAAATAAAATTGAAGATTTGGACTGTTGTAAACCATGAGAAGATCCTAACAATTTTGCAGTCATCATTGATTTTACTATGCAATATATTCTGGAGATAACATGTAACTATATAAAAGAGTCTATTTTTTTTTTGATAACTACAATTAAGGAAACTCTTTTTAACTTTTGGAAAATAAGGCACTGAAAGACACTTTTCCAAAAATAGAACAAAAAATTGCTTTATCTGATGGTCATAGTGATATCAAAACTATCAAAGATAAACTAGTTCACACATTCACAAAACATTTATTGTACACCAACTGTATGTCACATATTGAGCTAGGCACTGGGAGCACAAAATCGTAACTCAAGGTCCTTCTTTACAAGAACATAGTGTAATGGAAAAGATAGACACACAAGCTAATAATTACAAAGTGGTAAGATAATCAAGGTACCAGACAGCACACAGGCATCTCTGAAAAGAGAATGAATAGCTATTCCAAACAAGGGGTCATGGCAGACTTAAACTAAGGTGGGTCAATGAAAATGAATGGAATGTGCTTATTTGACAGTTAATTAAAAGAAGAATTAATGAAACACATGGATCAATTGGAAGAAGGTGGGAAACTGGAAGCAGTAGTCTAGAGATGACTCAGACTTTAGGCTTACATGACTAGAAAAAATTACAATATTAACTAAGATGTGAAATAAAAAAAGAGCAAAATCTGCTGCAGGGAAGACAATGCAGGATGGAGAGAAAACAATGACTCCTAGTTTGCAGACGTTAAATCTTAAGTCTCTGACTTACTTACATTACATAGGTTCAATGCAATCCCTATCAAAATCCCAATGGCATTCTTTAGGAAATTGAAAAAAAATTCTAAAATTCATATGAAACCATAAAAGACCCCAAATAGCCAAAACAATTCTGAGAAAGAAAATCAAAGTTGTATGCCAGGCTCAGTGACTCATGCCTGTAATCCCAGCACTTTGGGAGGCTGAGGAGGGAGGTTCACTTAAGCTCACTAGTTTGAGACCAGCCTTGGCAACATAACAAGACTCCATGTCTGCTAAAAATAAAGAATAAAAAAAATTAGTCAGGTGCGGTGGTGCACACTTGTGGTCCCAGCTACCCAGGAGGCTGAGGTAGAAGGGTTGCTTCAGCCTGGGAGGTCGAGGCTGCAGTGAACCATAATCATGCCACTGCACTCCAGCCTGGGCAACAGAGCAAGACCCTGCCACCCCCACAACAAAAAAAAGAAAGAAAGAAAAATGGAGGCATCACACATCCAGATTCCAAATTCAGGGGATATATATACATACAATAAAATATTATTCAGCCCTAAAAAAGAATTATATCTAAACATTTTCTATGACATGAATGACCCGGGAAGACATTATGCTAAGTGAAATAAGCCAGACACAAAAAGAAAAATATTGCCTGAAAATATACGGAATCTGAAAAAAAATCAAATATACAGAGATAGAGAACAAAAGATTGGTAGGGGGAGTAGAACGGGGGAAATAAATATCAGAGGATACAAAGTAGCAAATATGTAGGATGAACAAGTGTAGAGGTCTAAAGTACAACATGAAGACTACAGGTACCAAAATTGCACTGTATACGGGATTTCAGCTACGTGAGTAGATTTTAGCTGCTCTTGCCACAAAAACAAAAAATAAAGGGTAACTCTGTGAGAGGTGGTCATTTGTTTCACTGTAGTAAACTTTTTTTTACTATCTATATGTATCCCATAACATGTGTATACCACAAATATACACAATAAAATTTATTTTTTTAAATACCACAATGACATGCTACTATATAACTATCAGAATTGTTATCTTTAAAAAGGCTTCACAAACCTATATTGACAAGGATGTAGATCAACCAGAATTCACACACACACTGCTAATAGGCATGCAAAATAGTACAACCACTTAGTGAAACAATTTGGCAGTTTCTTAAAAAGTTATATACAAATACCACACATAACTTACCATCAAATCATACCATACAAATAACATACAAATACCATATAATCCAGTCATTCCACTGTAGGTATTTAGCCCAGAGAAATGAAAGCATATGTCCATAAAAAGACTTGTACATATAATATTAATAACAGCTCTATAGGTAATAGCCTAAAACAGAGACAACCCAAATGTCCATTAGCTGGTAAACAGATAAATTGTGATATATCCATACAATGGAAATAAAAAGAATTAAATACTCAGAAACAAAAGGAATTAAATACTACGACATTGGTTGAAAATCTAAATCAATTAGATTTTCTCAGGAAGAACAGCAGAATGGCTGCCCTTCAATCTCCCCAGCAGAAAGGGAGACATTCTCTGGCACAGATAAAATGCATGATCTCTGGACTAGACCCCTGATTGGTAGCCTTCATCAACTTCTGTGATGTAAATACTTCAACTTAACGCAGTGATAGGAAGAGATGCTAACAACTGCACTTCACAAGCAGACACAAGCCAATCCAGCACACCATTCAAAGGCCTACAACCAACAAGTCCCAACACTATGAACTCAGAGCTTCCCATGAGTTTTTGAAAACCTCCACTCTCAAATATGAACAAATAACCAAAGACATCCAATCACTTGAGGAAAGCCTTTACTACTAAAGAAACCAAAACAAAAAATTAGGAACAAACTACAGAAAAAAAAGAAACTTAGAGAAAATTTAGACTATGCATGGAGAAGAAATTTTCAAAAACAGTTATCATTAATATCATCTCAATATTAGAAAAGATAATGAATGTAAGAACAATGAAATAAAAAAGAAAATCAGAGATAAAATCAGTAGAAGAATTAAAAATAAAGCTGATAAGGCCAGGCATGGTGGTTCTCGCCTGTAATCCCAGCACTTTGAAAGGCTGAAGTGGGCAGATTACCTGGTCAACATAGTGAAACTCCATCTCTACCAAAAATACAAAAATTAGCCAGGTGTGGTGGCGCACGCCTGTAGTCCCAGCTACTTGGGAGGGTGAGGCAGGAGAATCGACTGAACCCAGGAGGCGGAAGTTGAAGTGAGTCAAGATCGCACCACTGCACTGCAACCTGGGTGACAGAATGAGACTCTGTCTCAAAAATAAAAAGTAAAAAATAAAGCTCATGAAGTATCTCAGATACTTAGAAAAAAAAGGCAAAGATATAGACAAATAGAAGGGAAATCATAAGAAAAGTAGGACACCGATTTAGCAGTTCCAATATTGAAAAATAGAGGTTCTTAAAGTCAAAACACAGAAAACAGGAGAATGAAAACAATGAAAGACATCATTTTAAAAATTATCAGAACTGAAGGACATTAATTTACCAAATAAAATGTACATGGGCCAGTCGCGGTGGCTCACGCCTGTAATCCCAGCACTTTAGGAGACCAAAGTGGGTGGATTACCCGAGTGAGGTCAGGAGTTTGAGACAAGCCTGGCCGACAAGGTGAAGCCTTGTCTCTACTAAAAATACAATAATTAGGCCGGGCGCGGTGGCTCACACCTGTAATCTCAGCACTTTGGGAGGCTGAGTAGGGCGGATCATGAGGTCAGGAGATCGAGACCATCCTGGCTAACATGGTGAAACCCTGTCTCTACTAAAAATACAAAAAAATTAGCCAGGCATGGTAGCGGGTGCCTGTAGTCCCAGCTACTCGGGAGGCTGAGGCAGGAGAATGGTGTGAACCTGGGAGGCGGAGCTTGCAGTAAGCCGAGATCGCACCACTGCACTCCAGACTGGGCGAGAGCGAGACTCCGTCTCAAAAACAAACAAACAAACAAAAAATACAATAATTAGCCAAGCGTGGTGGTGCATGCCTGTAGTCCCAACTACTCAGGAGGCTGAGGCAGGAGAAATGCTTGAACCTGGGAGGCAGAGGTTGCAGTGAGGCGAGATCACGCCAGTGCACTCCAGCCTGGGCGACAGAGTGAGATTCGGTCTCAAAAAACAAAAACAAAAACAAAAAAGGACCAGGATAGCTTTGATAAAAAATAAAAATAAAAAAAAGACAAAGAAATAACTGAAGTGAGTCCGATACGGTCTTTTAAATTTCAATTAAACAAACAAACCAAATTCCTAAAACACCCATCCAGGGCTATTCTCTTAATTTAAATTTTTCCTCTTTCAACTCTAGTTACACTAACAAGTCTTCACTATTCAGGAAACCTAGAATGAAGAGAAATTATTCATACCTATTACTTCTACTTCAATCTGCAATCTTCAATTATTAATGGACACTCTCCAAGTTCTAAGTCCAAGAAAATACAAGTCCAAGAATCAAACAAAATAATGAATAAGATATCATCTCTTCCTCCAAAGAGCTGACAATCTAATAGAGAAAAATATATACAGATAAATTACAATATAGGCAGTGACCATAGTTCCTACAGCACAGAAAACACCTAATAATTGTTTGTTATCAATCTTCTTGTTCTTATTAAATAAATGCTACAATAGAAAAATCTTTAACTCCCTAAATTAATACATCTGTTCAACAAAAATCTCTATGGAATATTTTACGGAAAACTCAACTAAAAGTTCTAAATTTGATTTAGAAGAATTTACGGGAAAAAAAATTGTGAAACAAGAAGTAATAATGGGATCTACATACTACCAATTATGAAAGCATATCATAAAACAATACCAAAAAATGTTAGTCTAGCACCAGAATAGAGAGCTCAATGAATATAAGAGAAGCCCTAGAAACAAACCAGTCATACATATAGGAATAAAGCTGACATCTGAAAGAAGCAAAAAAAAAAAAAAAGGAAAACATCATTCAATAAATAGTCCCGAGAAATATGTTTTAATTAATGGGAAGGAAAAAACAATTTCAATTCCCTACCCCATACCATTTAGCAAAATTTAATCCACATGATTTGTTCTTGACTTCTCAAACCTCATTCCTACCCTCTTTTTCTCACACACCCTGTTCAAACCACACAGGCCTCCTTAAAAATATAAGTATGCTTGCACCTTATGACTGTTGCATTTGAAATTCTCTCTGCCTAGAAAGTTTTTTCCTCAATCATATGGCTCAATCTTTCTGCTCAAATGTCATCTCTTCGGAAACTCTCTCCCTAATTATTCAGTCAAAAATAGCACCCTATCATCATTCTCTTTCCTCTTAGTTATGGGACTTATCACCATCTGGCATTATATTATTTATTTATATGCTTACTGTCTGTCTCCCCACTAGAATGAAAGCTCCACCACACTATCTTTGGGTCTTAAAACAGTGACTGGAATATTGTAGGTGACCAGTAAATATTTGTTAAATGAAATATAAAAATGTTGAGTACATATATGAAAAATGTCAACCTCACTGGCAATCAAAGAAAGCAAAAAAAAAAAAAACCAAACCCATACCATTATATATTTCTTTATCAAATTGGGAAAAAAGTCAATAATATTCAGTAATGGTTAGCATGCAGAGCTTATAATAAGCTGGTGGTGAAAATGTAAATTGGTACAATTTTTCTGGAAGGCAATTTGACATTACATGTTTAAAAGCTTTCATAGTGTGCAAATGTGTTACCTAGAAATTCTCCTTAAGAGGAATTATTTTAAGAAATTAATTAATAGTTTGTACAAATATTTAGCTATAAAAATATTTATCACAGAGTGAGGGTAGTAAAAATTATGGATTTTGATATATAATGCCACTTAGAATAGTTATTCTCTCTTTGCTCTTGTCAGCTAGATTTCTAACACTGCCTGCCTCCAGAGCTTAGTACTCATCTTTCTCTCTAGCTTTCTTATATGAGACCCACAGCATCAGTGTCTTATATGGCTCCAGTAGCATATGGCTTGAGCTCCTACTGATCAGGGTTTTTTTTTTTTAGCTTATGTGAACCTCCCTGGGAGGAGAAAGTCTACCAACAGAGTAGCCAGGGATCCTAGAGAGGACGCAATTCTTCTTAGTTTTATACAATGGCTCAATATATGTGACAGATAAACAGATATCACTATTCTTTAACATAAAATAAAAATCTCACAACAAAATGGAAAAACAGGATATTAACAGGCAATTCACAGAAAAGGAAATGTGAATGGCTAATAAATATTTGAAAATATAATTAACCTCACTGTGGCTAGCAAAGAGCAAAATAAAACAGTGGCTGCCTACTTTTCTACCATCAGATGGGCACAAATTTTTAAAGAAATAATTGATAACAATCAATGGAGGCAAATATGTGAAGAAATAGTCACTCTCACAGAATATTCATTGAAGTGTAAATTGCTACAACATTCTTGGAAAGTAACATGGCAATACATAATCAAATTTCAAATATGAATACTCTTAGACCCAACAACTCCACTTTTCAGGATTGATATCTATGAAATAAAAATATTCATATGAAGACTGCAGACACAAAAATATACACTGTAGAATTTTAATAGTATAAAAGAGAAAGGGTCTGGAATGGTGGCTCATGCCTATTATCTCAGCACTTTGGGTGGCTGAGGCGGGCGGATCACCTGAGGTCAGGAGATCGAGACCAGCCTGTCCAACATGGTGAAACTCTGTGTCTACTAAAAATACCAAAAATTAGCCAGGGGTAGCGGCGGGTGCTTGTAATCCCAGCACTTTGGGAGGCCGGGGCAGGTGGATTACTTGAGGTCAGGAGTTCGAAACCAGCCTGGCCAACATGGCAAAAAAAACACTTTACTCAAAATACAAAAATTAGCCAGGCATGGTGGTGCATGCCTGTAATCCCAGCTACTCAGGAGGCTGAGGCACAAGAATCACTTGAACCCAGGAGGCAGAGGTTGCAGTGAGCCGAGATCAGGCCACTGTACTCCAGCCTGGATGACAGAGAGAGACTCCATCTTTAAAAAAAAAAGAGAGAGAGAGAGAGAGAAAGCTCATAAATGCCCAGCAAAAAAAAAATAAAAAATTAATTAGTCCAATAGCTGAGAATGGGGCAAAAAAGGAAAAGTTAATTAGGATTCATTCACACTATGAAATGTTATGCAACTATTAAAATAAATAACTTTGATCTGAATGTATTGACTTTGAAAGTCAGCCAAAACATATAAAGTGAAAAACGTAAATTGCAGAATATTGTGTGTGTCTGGAGCATTCCAAATGCTTTATATGCATTAGCTTATTTATAGCCACACGACTATAAGAAAGTTACTATTACTATTCCCATTGTATAGATGAAAAATATTTGCAATAACATAGAAAAATACATGCAAAAATACATTATTCATTCTGTGAATAGTCTGAATGTTGAAATTATCATGAATTTCTTTAAGGAAAAGAAAAGACAATAAACTACAAAGGAAGAAAGATAGGTTTGCTCCAGATTACGAAGAACCTCATAATATATTGAAAAGCTTGGATTTTATTCTGCAGCAACTTGGAACTAAATGGCTTTCAGAAAGATAAGTATGTTCCTCACATGATCAGTCAGTGTTTTAGAATAAGAGCTCTTGTAACAGGTGGAAGGTAAACAGAGTGAGAGTCAGGTTAATTGTTTTACAGACCAGGGGAGAAACAAAGCAATTTGAACAAATGCAGATATAGTGGTAGAGAGAGAGAGGGTGAGAAAATTCAAATTGATATGTCTAAAATAAAACCTATGGGAGATGGTATCCATATGAATAGAATAAGAACAAGAGAATGGCTGAGGTTTCAACCATGAACGAAATGCATCAATGATGAGATATCTCCACTAGAAAAAGCTGCAAGGGCAGTAGTATCTTCTGGCAGGAGCCAAGTTTCAGTTAAAACTGATTAGAACACTAGGTTGCTTGGAGTACCTCAGGCAAAAAATGGAAAAGAAATAGGAAAATACTGCAAATTAACTGTCATACATTTTTTAAATTTCTGCATGTTATTAGACCTTACAAATATTTTGTAAGAGAAGATATTTATAACTAAAATAAGATTCAGGGCCTATAGATTTCAATTACCTATACCAACTCAGTTCCCCATTATACAAAAATTAATTATAATACACACATTTTTAATAACTCCATTGAATGTCGCCTTCTCCTAGCAAAATGGATATGGATACATCTTTTTTAAACAAGGAGGTTTAGAATGGAAAGTTAGCATATATCTAAATATATTCAACTGCACCTATTGACAGAGCCTCTAGGCACATATCCACATATCCATAGAACATCCACCGACACATCTGAAACACCATAAATAAGCCAGACCCAAACCCTCCAACTAAAAATTTAATTTAAAAAAGAAACCTTGATTTCTAAAAGGTTCTGCTTCATTCCAACTTTTTATATTGCCTTGCCCCCTTTACTCAGGCATAATCTTCAAATTTAGAAAGAGGGCCTAGATTAAAAACTTGATTAACTTAAGCTTGTTTCATAAAATGCAAGAGTTTCTAGACACATTTAAGAAATGTCTTGAAAAAGTATAAAATGCTTATTACATATTTATTCCAAAAAAAGCAATTTATAGATCCTTGGTCTTAGTCTAATACACACCCAAATCCCATTTCTTATGCCTACTTGTCAATATCTTAAATTCTGTATGTGAGAATTACTGCCCAAAATGAATGTTCTCAGACAATATGGGGTTGCCAATTACCAAAAATTTAATTTCCTTTGTTATATTATTTGCACTAATGTAACAAATCAGATTAGTAGATTTTAGAATAAATATAAACAAAATAGTTTTCTACCAAACTTTCAAATAACCAGGACATTCATTAGTCAGAATATTCTATTATCTAAGCTTTCACATATTAAATAAGATTATTCTTAAACCATAAGCCTGAGTTTCTTAGGCCAATATCCATATGTACAGCAAATAAGATTTGAAGCACAACTACTCCACAAATTGATCATTATTATACCTTCCATCAGTCTATGGGGAAAATCTATCAGAAATAACATAAAACTGTTTCAGTTTTTATTGATTCCTATCTGACCCCTGACACATGAGATCACGCCGAGGCATCAGATATGGAAATTCATACAGAATGTGCATTTAATGCCTCAGGCAGGGTCAGAGTATGTAGGAATGGTCTTCTGACAGATCATATCATTTCAAGCAATGCAAAATAAACCTTATTCTCAATCTGTGTCTTAATAGTTTACTTCCATTTTTGGATGAACTGGACATATGTACATATGCTACTGATTACTACAAGTGAAGTTCTCATCAGTTTAGTGATGGCACAATTTTATTATCATGGGCTACAAGTGTCCCACATGGGTCAAATGGGTCTATATCAGCACTGTCCTTTAGAAATACAAGGTGAGGACTGGGCATGGTGGCTCACACCTGTAATCGCAGCACTTTTGGAGGCCAAGACAGGTGGATCACTTGAGCCCAGGAGTTTGAGATCAGCCTGGGCAACAAGGTGAAACCCCATCTCTACAAAAAAAAAAAAAAAAAAACACAAAAAGAAAAATTAGCCAGGCATGGTGGCATGCATCTGTAGTCCCAGCTATTCGGGAAGCTGAGGTGAGGATTGCTTGAGCCTAGGAGGTGGAGGTTGCAGTGAGCTGACACTGTGCCACTGCACTCCAGCCTGGACAACAGAGCAAGACCCAGTCTCAAAAAATAAAAAGAAAAAAATATATAATGTGAGCCATATATGTGAATTTAAATTTTCTAGTAGCCACATTAAAAAGATGTGAAATTAGTTTGAATATATTTTATTTAACCTAGTATATCAAAAACATTATTTCAACATATAATCAATATAAAAAGTATTGAGATGTTTCACATTCTTTTTTGTACTGTTTTCAATATTGGTGTTTATTTTACACTTATAGCACATCACAATTAGGACTAGCCACATTTCAAATGCTTAATATCCTGATGTGGACAGTGGCTACTATATTGCACAGCACAGGGCATTTCTATATAATTATTCCAAGGGGAAAAAAGAAAATTAACTCTAATAATATGAAAAAGCTTTCTAGTATAAGGAAGAGTAGCTAACGGATGCTGGACTTAATACCTAGAAGATGGGTTGATCTGTGTTACAAACCACCATAGCACACGTTTACCTATGTAACAAAACTGCACATCCTGCACATGTATCCCAGAACTTAAAATATTAATAAAAGTTGATGAAAAATAAATAATAAAAAAGTATTGTCACATTGGAACCCACATACTATCCCATATGAGTTTATTGAATGAATATTTACTGAAATGTGCAAAACCATCTAAGTAAGATAGATATACACTATAAAGCTTAAAAATGCAGAGAACAACTATGAACTGGCCTTCTGTGAAGAATGAGAACAAGAATCAGCAAACTGTAGACCATGAGCCACATCCAGTCCACTGTTTGTTTTTGTAAATAAAGTTTCATCGAAACACATACAGACACATACACACACACACGCACAAAAGCTTTCTAAAAATAACTGCAAACGTTGGCTTTGTAGTAAATACATGTCTATTTGAGTCACAAACAATTTCTTAAAGATATCTTGCCTTTGGAGCAAAAATAAATAATAGATCTAGTATACAGTCATATCCTAGACTGTAATGCACAATTTTACAAAAAGCACATCAGGAGCATCATAGTCAAAATCGTACTAACTAAACATTTTCTGATGAATAATGTGCACCTTGAATTACTTGATGCAATTCTCAATACATGTATTTTTACCAGCAAATGCGAATTGAATGACTATGAGCAAAAGTAACTCCTTGAGTTATAATCACACATATAATACAATTATGACCTCTCTTCAATATATACAGTATGTGCCACAAGATGGAATTTTAGAATATGAAAAGAATTTGTAACCACACCGAGCCATAAACACAGAGTCAAGAGACATGAGAGGAAAACTAGAGCATCTATTTTAACCTAGTTTTAACTTCATCACTTGTTCTAAAAGTGTAAAACATTCCTCCCAGCCCATATTTTCTCTTCTCTGCATAGATATAATTCCTGGAAAATAAACCAGCAGACAAGGCAGATTAATCTCTCATTGTCACACGAACACTGATTTTGGTGGCAATTGTTTTTCCTATCCTCACATTCTCTTCATAGGTAACAATAATTCCAGGGTACTATGGTAGGAAAAAATAATGGTACCCCCAAGATGTATACGTCTTAATCTCTGGAACGTGTGCATATTTTGTATTACACAGCAAGGGAGAATTAAGGTTGCAGATAGACTTACATTGCTAATCAGCTGGCTTTATCCCGGATTACCCAGGTGGGCCCCATGTAATTACAAGTGGAGAAGAGGGAAATGGAAGAGTCAGAATCAAAAAGACGGCACAGTCAAAAAGACTCAACTGGCCATTGTTGGCTCTAAAGATGGAAGAGGGTCATGAACCTAGAAACGTAAGCAGCCTCTAGTAGCTGGAAAAGGCAAGAAAACAGATTTTCCTAGAGCCTTCAGGAAAGAATGCAGCCCTGCCCACACCTTGATTTTAGCCCAGTGAGAACCACAGACCTCCAGGACTATAGGATAACAGATTTGTGTTATTCTAAGCCACTACATTTGTGGTAACTTGCTACAGCAGCAATGGGAAACTAATACAGGTGTGCTTATTGTAATTAACACACCCGAAATATGAGACGTTCAGACCTTTCCAAATACTTGGGAATTTAAGGTAGCATGAGAAAGAGAGCATGAACAAAACATTGACTGCGGACTTGCTACATACTAGAAACTATGCAAAATGCTTTGTATTGATTACCTAAGTTAATCTTCATAACAACCATGTGAGACGGGGGCTTTTATAACCCCTGGATTTTTAAATGAAGAACTGAAGAGCAGAAAAGTAATTTATCAAAGATCACACAGCTAGTTCACATTGCAGGCAAGATTTGGAACCAGGCTGCCTGATTCCAGAGCCAATGACATTAACCACTACATTATACTTCAGTCTCATTGTTTTTATTTACCTTTGATTATAATAAAGTGGAGACATTTTTACTTGTATAAATATAAGGGGTCCAAGTGCAGTTTTGTTACAGGGATACATTGCATAGTGGTGAATTCTGGGCTTTTAGTGTAATCATCACCCAAATAATTACATTGTACCTTTTAAGTAACTTTTAATCCCTCACCGCCCAACCCCAACCCTCCCACCTTTCCTAGCCTCCAATGTCTATCATTCCATCCTCTATGTCCATGTGTACATATTATTTAGCTCCCATTTATAAGTGAGAACATGTGGTATTTGACTTTCTAAGTTCTTTCACTTAAGATAATGGCCTCCAGCTCCATCCAAGTTGCCAAAGACATTATTTCATTCTCTTTTACAGCTGTATAGTATCCCATTGTGTATGTGCATATCACATTTTCTTCATCCAATCATCTGTTGATGGACACTTAGATTGATTCCATATCTTTGCTATTGTCAATAGTGCAATAAACATACAAGTGCAAGTATCTTTTTGCTACAATTATTTATTTTCATTTGGATAGATACCCAGTCGTGGGATTCCTGGATTAAATGGTAATTCTTTGAGATATTTCCATGAAGTTTTCCAAAGAGGTTATACTAACTTATATTCCCACCAATGGTGTATAAGCATTCCTAGACCTTTTATGTTTCATGACCAATTTCATTTTTTCTATGAGTAGCTTGTTTATATTCTTTGCCCAGTTTTTGTATTGAGTTTTTCATTATTTTTACTGATTTTCATCATTCTTACTGATTTGAAGAAGCCATTTTATATTTATAGATATTAACCCTTTCTAATGTTGAAAATATTTCCCTTATTTCATCTTTCAGCCGAACTTATGGTGTACTTTGCCTGGCCATAATGTTTACTAAATCATTCTATCTTTCTTTAAATTTATTGTTTCTAGCCTTGGTACCATTGAAAGAAAGGTCTTCCTGATTACAAGATGATAACAATATTCTCTAGTATTTCTTCCTATTTCTTTTTTTGATGAAATTTTTTAATTTCTCTCTATTATGGGTATATGATATGAGGTATTTCCCAATGGAATAAACTAATTCAATACCACTTTAAAATAATTAATTGCCATCTAATTACCCCAGTGAAATGCTTCCTTTCTCATATATTATTTTTCTGTACCTGTATTTCAAATCTGTATTTTGACTGTTTTGTTACATTCATCTATCTTCTCCAAAGACTAATATTACATTATTTAATTTCTATAGCTTTATAGCATATTTTAATAGCTAAAAATAGATCTCTTCTGATATATATATTCTTAACTGTTTTTATCATGGGTTTATTCATCTGTATAATAGATGGTATAGTCAGACCAGGCACAGTAGCATGTGCCTATAGTCCCAGTTCCTCAGGGGGCTGAGGCAGGAGGATCACTTGAGCGTAGGAGTTTCAGTCCAGCCTGGGCAATACAGCAATACCTCATCTTTAAAATAAAAAATAATAAGTATAGTCAAATTGTCAAATTTAAAAAAAAGTTTTGGCTGTAATTGCATTAAACTTATAGAAAAAGTAGGAAGAAATGAGATCTTTGCAATTCTGTATTTTTCCAGCTGAATCTGATTTCCATCTCTACAGCTTTGGTAACAGTCTTAGGCAAGGTACTTCACTTCATTAGACCTGAGTTTCCCCATAGGTAAAACCCAAGGATAATCACAGTAATAACCTCACTGTATTGTGAGAAGATTAAAGAAAAAATATAAGTATTAAATATACTACGCAATCCACAGAAGGTACTTATTAAATGTTATTTAATTGGTCTAACCTTTTTATATTTTCTTTATAGAACTCTTAAAAATATTTTAAAATTATTTTCTTTAACATACTTACATAGTGAATACTATGTGCCAGATATCATTCTAAATGTTTTCTAAATATTAACTCAATAAATCCTCATAGCAACGCTATCAAATGAGTACTATAATTACTACACTTTTCAGATTAAATAACTAAGGTACAGAGTAGTGAAGTACCTTGGTTCAGGTCACATGGCCCCTACCAGGTGAAGCAGGGATTCAAACCACAGCATGCCTTTAATCATTATCTATTGCCTTGTTATTTTAATTCCTAAGTAATTTAGTTCTTTATTACTATTCCACATGAAGTCTTATTTTTCATGTCTTTTAATTACTGCTGCTAGTTAGAACACTGTGTTTTTCAAATTCATTCACTCATTCAAAAAATAGCTATTGAGTATCCACTATATACAGGCACTGTTCTCATTGTTCTAGTCACTGACAACACAGCAGTTGGAGAAGGCTGTACAGAAAAAAGACAAAAATTCCTGCCCTCATGGTCTTTACATTCTGATTTAGTTAGACAAACAATATACAAATGAATATATAAATATATGAAGCAAGAAGTGGTATCAAGAAAGGCAAGAGGAACAGAGTGCTGTTTTATGCAGCATAGTCGAGGAAGCCTCTGGGATAATAGGGCAACTTTGGAAGAACATTTTAGGAAGAAATGGGCTTAATGCTGAGGAACAGCCAGGACAGCAGTGTGGCTGGAATAGGGTAAGCAAGGAAGAGAGCACAGAAAAGTGGGTCAGAGATGTGTGGCTGGATCATATAGAGCCTTGTGGCCATTCTGACTTTGGCCTTGACTGATATGGAAAGCCATCGGAGAGTTTTGAATGGAGAAATGACATGATCTGACTTGTATTCTGCTGCTCTGCTAAGAATAGTCTGAAGGGGAAAGGGTAGAAGCAAGGAGATCAGTTAGGAAATTACTATAGTAATGCAGGAAAAGATGATGACGGCTTAGAGCAAAGGGGTAGCATCATGTAGAGGGAAAAAATGCTTGGATTATGCATTTAAAGGTAAAGGAAACAGAATTTGCTGACAAATTGTGACGTGCAAAGAAAAGAAACAGGAAGGACTGCGAGATTTCTGTCATGAGCAACTAGAAAATTGGAATTGCCATTTATTAATTTGGATAAGTTTGCAGAAGAGGTTCTCTATTATTTTTAGGTATAATAATCATGTATCTCTTCCTTTATAATATTCATTCCATTTTTTCTCCTTACACAAACTGCATTGGCTAGAACCACTAAAATAATAAGAAGATAATCTTTGTCTTGTTGATGAATTTAACGGCATGCCTGGTAGGGCACCACCATTTAGTATGATGCTTGCTACTGGATTCTCATGGATACCTTTTCAGCATATTAAGGAAACTTTTATTCCCTCAGTAAAGAACAAAAAGGTGGAATAGCATAATGGATAAAAGCACGGACTCAGGATTCAAACTGTCTGGACTAAAATGCTGATCCCCTCCCTAACTGCACCACCTTGGGAAAATTACCTAACTACTCCGTGCCTCAGTTCTCTCATCTATAAAATGAATATACCAGTAATAGCTAGCTCATAGGGTTACTGTAAAGATTAAATTAGATGTAAAGTGCTAGCACAATGCCTGACACATAATAATCATCCTTTCTGTAGGAAAAGTTTTTATCTAGAATGGCTCTTGTGGTTTGTTAAATTTATTTAGGATATCTTTCACGATGGTCATACAGCTTTTCCCTTTTAATACATTAACATATTTAATGTCGGATGAGAAGCATCTCTACACTACTGGAAGTAAATTTATCTACTTATGGTGTATTTTTTTAATATAATCCTGAATTTGATTTGCTCTTTGTAACAGGATTTTGCATTCACATTCACATGTAAATTGTCTCTGGTTTTCTTGTCTTTTTTATTTCAGTTTTGGAAGCAGGTTACATAAACTGAAGAGTTTGGGGCCTTTTTTCTAGTTTCCAGAATAATTCAACCAACATAGAAATTGATTATGTTAATTGAATATTTGAAAGAGCAAATGTAAAATCATCTAGGATTGGCACTTTTGTGGAGTAAACCCTTAATAAAATTCCAGTGTCTTCTATGGTTACTGACTTACTAATATAGTCGACTTTTTCTTACATTAATTCTGTCATTTACATTTCTCTAGGAAATAAGTTCTTTCCATTTAGGCTTTCTAATTTAT
Organism: Homo sapiens; assembly: GCF_000001405.40. Lineage (NCBI taxonomy): Eukaryota > Metazoa > Chordata > Mammalia > Primates > Hominidae > Homo > Homo sapiens. Next base: position 99,841,771 of record NC_000012.12, read on the forward strand.
TGACTAGAAATCATACATATTTTTAAATCGGTTGTTATTGTCCATATTTACAGTTCTATCACCATTGTAATTCCCAGTGTTCTGTATTATTTTTCTCTCCTTGGTTAGTCTAGGTGGGGCTAGTTTATCAGCATATTCAGAGATTTAGTTAGCTTTATTTTTATCAAATGTCTATTGGATATGTTATTTATTCATTGTTTATTTACTTTTTAATTAACTACTCTCTGTTCTTAACTATAAGAATTCAGTTACCTATTTCACATTTGAGTTGAATGCTTCACTCATTTAATTTTATTCTTTCTTATTCAAAGGTAAAAGCATTATAGGCTGTGACATTTCTACGGAGGTTTTGCCCACATGACTTAGGTTTTGACGAGTTATTTTTCATTTCAATTATTATATACACAGCCTGTAATTCAGTTTTTGTGTCCTTTTTACTCTGAAAATTATAGTTGTTTTTTAAATTTATCAATGCTTAGAATCATTATATGTCTTGCTCTATTTCTAGTGTTACCACATTATAGTCAGAAAAGAATTCTTCAACTTCTAATAATTTATTTAGAATTTTTTTGAAAACTAGTATGTAGTTTTTGTTATGTTACATGTGACAAAAGTTCTTTGATTAACCAAATTTTAGCTGGCCTCCTAAAACTTCTCCTAGGCCCATCTGTGTACTTCCTTGTAAAATAGCAAGAGCTCTGCTCAGTCAGTTTAGCAAGAACCTCCACCCTTGAGATCTTATCAGATTCCTCATCCTCCACCATCCCTCAGGTGATACCTGGTCACCATGGCCTGTCTTCAGCTAGACTTTTCGAAGTTGGTTTAGCCAAAAACCCTCTTACCCATGTTTCCTCTTGGTAATTTTCCATCCACTGACCCCTGCCCTGTTCCCCGGCTATGAATTTCCACTTGCCCATGCTATATTTGGCACTGACCCCAATCTCTCTCCCCCACTGCAAAATCCCATTGCAGTGGTCCCTATACCTGTGATAGTCCTGAATATTGTCTTCCTTACCTTGCTTTAACAAGCATCATTGAATAATTTTTGTTAATGCATGAGCATTGAAAAGTATATTCTATTTTTTAGGGAGAGATGTGTACTTTTCAAGCTTATTAATTGCATAATTCAAACCATCAATAACTATTTAGTTCGTCTACTTCATTCGCAAATTTTTGGAAATGTTACCATACACAGTATATCACTGTGATTGAATTATTACCAAATTTTCTTTGTATTTCTAAGTTTGCTTCATGTGTTTTGTTGCTGTAGTTTCTTCAGTTTGTTTGTTTGTATTAAGGCTTTTTTCCAACTTTTAGGTTCAAGGGTAGATATGCATAACGTGCAGGCTTGTTACACAGGGAAATGTGTTCCTACATCATTTCTGTCATTTATGTTTTTCTAGGAGATAAGTTATTTCCATTTAGGTTTTCTAATTTGTTGACTAGAAATCACACATATTTTTAAATCTGTTGTTATCTTCTATATTTACAGCTCTATTACCATTGTAATTCCTAATGTTCTGTATTATTTTTCTCTCCTTGGTTAGCCTAGGTGGGGCTAGCTGCACAGATCATCCCATCACCTGGCTATTAAGCCCAGCATCCATTAGCTATTCTTCTTGATGCTCTCCCTCCTCTCACCCCCAACCCTCCAACAGGCCCTGTATGTGCTGTCCACTCCGTGTGTCCATGGGTTCTCATCATTTGCCTCCCACTTATAAGTGAGAACATGTGGTATTTGATTTTCTATTCCTGCATTAGTTTGCTGAGGATAATGGCTTCCAGATCCATCCATGTCCCTGCAAAGGACATGATTTTTTTCCTTTTTATGGCTGCATAGTATTCCACAGTGTATATGTACCATATTTTCTTTATCTAGTCTATCATTGATGGGCATTTAGGTTGATTCCATGTCTTTGTTTTGTGAATGATGCTGCAATGAACATACATGTGCATGTATCTTTATAACAGAATAATATATATTCCTTTAGGTATATACCCAGTAATAGGATTGCTGGGTTGAATGGTATTTCTGTCTCTAGGTCTTTGAGAAATCGCCACACTGTCTTCCACAATGTTGAACTAATTTACACCCCCACCAGCAGTGTAAAAGCATTCCTTTTTCTCCACAACCTCGCATCTGTTGTTTTTTAACTTTTTAATAACAGTCATTCTTACTGGTGTGAGATGGTATCTCATGTCGTTTAGATTTGCATTTCTCTAATGATAGGTGATGTTGAGCTTTTTAAAAGTTTCTTGGCCACATGTATGTCTTATTTTGAAAAGTGTCTGTTCATGTCCTTTGCCCACTTCTTAATGGGGTTGTTTTTTTCTTGTAAATTTGTTTTAAGTTCCTTTTAGATGCTGGATATTAGGTGTTTGTCAGAGAGTAGATTGCAAGAATTTTCTCCCATTTTGAAGGTTGTCTGTTCACTCTGATGATAGTTTCTTTTGCTGTGCAGAAGCTGTTTAACTCGATCCTATTTGTCAATTTTTGCTTTTGTGGCTATTGCTTTTGGAATTTTCATCATGAAGTCTTTGTCCATGCCTATGTCCTGAATGATATTGCCTAGGTTTTCTTCCAGGGTTTTTCTAGTTTTAGGCTCTACATTTAAGTCTTTAATATATCTTGAGTTGATTTTTGTATAAAGTATAAGGAAGGGGTCCAGTTTCAATTTTCTGCATATAGCTAGCCAGTTCTCCCAGCACCATTTATTAAATAGGGAATCCTTCCCCCATTGCTTTTGTCAAGTCTGTCAAAGACCAGATGGTTGTAGGTGTATGATGTTATTTCTGGGTTCTCTATTCTGTTCCATTGGCCTGTGTGTCTGTTTTGGTACCAGTACCATGCTGTTTTGGTTACTATAGTCTTATAGTACAGTTTGATGTCAGGTAGCATGATGCCTCCAGCTTTGTTCTTTTTGCTTAGGATTCTCTTTGCTATTTGGGCTCTTTTTTGGTTCCTTGTGAATTTTAAAATAGTTTTTTCTAATTCTATGAAGAATGTCAATGGTAGTTTAATAGGAATGGCATTGAATCTATAAACTGCTTTGGGCAGTATGGCCATTTTCATATTAATTCTTCCTTTCCATGAGCATGAAATGTTTTTCCATTTGTTTGTGTCATCTCTGGTTTCTTTGAGCAGGGGTTTGTAGTTCTTTTTAAAGAGGTCCTTCACTTCCCTTGTTAGCTGTATTCCTAGGTATTTTATTCTTTTTGTGGCAATTGTGAATGTGAGTTCATTCATAATTTGGCTCTCGGCTTGCCTCTTATTGCTGTATAGGAATGCTAACTATTTTTGCACAATGATTTTGCATCCTGAGACTGCTGAAGTTACTTATCAGCTTAAGAAGCTTTTGGGCTGAGATGTGGGGTTTTCTACATATAGGATCACGTTATCTGCAAACAAAGATAGATTGACTTCCTCTCTTCCTATTTGAATACCTTTATTTCTTTCTTTTGCCGGATTGCCCTGGCCAGAACTTCCAATACTTGAATAGGAGTGGTGAGAGAGAGCATCTTTGTCTTGTGCTGGTTTCCAAGGGGAATTCTTCCAGCTTTTGCTCACTCAGTATAATATTGGCTGTGGGTTTGTCTTATATGGCTCTTATTATTTTGAGGTATGTTCTTTCAATACCTAGTTTACTGAGAGTTTGTAATATGAAGGGATGCTGAATTTTAGCAAAGGCCTTTTCTACATCTATTGAGATAATCATGTGGTTTCTTTACTTCTGATTATGTAATGACTTAGTTTATTGATGTGTTTATGTTGAACCAGCCTTGCATCCCAGGGATGAAGCTGAGTTGATCGTGGTAGATAAGCTTTTTGATGTGCTGCTGGATTCAGTTTTCTGGTAATTTGTTGAGAATTTTTGCAGTGATGCTCATCAAGGATATTGGCCTGAAGTTTTCTTTTTTTGTTGTATCTCTGCCAGGTTTTGGTATCACAATGTTGCTGGCCTCATAGAACGAGGTAGGGAGGAGTACTTCCTTTTCGATTTTTTTGGAATAGTTTCAATAGGAATAACACCAACTCTTCTTTGTATCTCTGGTAGAATTCAGATGTGAAACTGTGTGGTCCTGGGTTTTGGTTGGTGGCTATTTATTACTGCCTCAATTTCAGAACAATATTGGTCTCTTTAAGTTTTTCAGTTAAGCAAAAGAATGGCACATCATCTTTATGAATTAAATGTTTTATTATTATTTTAAAAAATTGACTTTGTTCCATATATTGCTCTTTACCTTGAATTATGCCTTGTTATTAATATTACTACATCTGCTCTCCTTTTGTTTAACTTAACTAGTAGAGTTTTGCCTATCCATTTATTTTCCTTCTATTTCTGTCATTTTATCTTGGCTTTATCTCTTGAAAATGGCCTATAGCTACAGTTTGCTTTTTTGTTTTATAATCTGAGCAGCTTTGCCTTTTAATTCACTAACATTTGTTATTATTCCTGCTGCTAAATTGTATGTAATGTTTTTATTCTCCTTTCCTATTCTTTTCCCTCCTCTTCTCTCTTCTCTGTTTTCTTGATCAAGCGTTCTTCATTTCTTTATTCCTTTCTAGCTATTTTTCCTTAACATTTTATTCCTAATAGTCCTTTACTTTTTGCAAATATATTAAACCTACATTTCTTACTGACATCAATAATTACATTGTAACTATGTCCATCTTTAACAAAACATAACTTGCATCTTTTCCCACTTTTAACCCAAGGATTTTTGATAAAACAAGGTAGAATTTTAATGCTATAGTGTTACTATTTCCTCTTTTATTTCAGAAATACTTTAATAATTATGTTGTATTTGACAACCATGTTTTCAATAGCGACTTAGGTTTACTAATTTCATTGCTCACCATAGTTTCTTGAATATTTAAAAAGATTATATGAGATACTGTGATATTTTGCTGCCTTCAGGTTACCAAAAGGCACAGAATTTACAAACATAGTGCCATGACCACTAAAGTCCTATATACTGGAATATGATTCATCCACCCCAGAGTTGCAAGCAGTCTTTAGGAGATATAAAGATATGAGAAATCTTTTGAGAGATATGAAAAAAGGATTAGAACTATGATGTGGTCACATTTTGCGGAATGCAGTCTTTGTGTAGACAGGTTATCTGTTCTCCTCCCCTCCCATAGGTGTAGAAGAAAAAAACACTCAACTGGGTTTCCTTCCCAAAGTTCACAGAAAGAAGAACCAAGAAAAACTTGAAGTGTGTTGCTGGGCCTCAGAAAGCAACACCCTAAATTATGATGTTTTGGCACGCTAAGTACTTTGAACTGAAGGACAGTGGCAGGGCCTCAGAAGCAAGGTCTCTCTCTTTTTTCTTTCTTTTTTTTTTTTCTTTGAGACAGGGTCTCATCATGTCACCCAGTACACAGTGCAATGGCAATCATGGCTCACTGCATTCTCAAACTCCTAGGTTCAAATGATCCTCCCACCTCATCCTCCTGAGTAGCTGGGACAACAGGTGCATGCCACCATACTTGGTTGGAAATCCTTCTGTCCTTCTGAGCTTCTTTCTCCTGCTCCCCTTTCTTCCCCAAGGCAGGCCATAAAAAATAGAATTCCTCTTCCCCAAGGCAAGTCATATAAACTAGAAATATTACTCTAACCTTCTCCGACCTTTCTGTGTACAACCTGGCCATCAAGAAATTCTCTAACCTACTGTCTGATAGTAGGTCATAAGACCCTCATTCTAGAAGGAGTCCTGCCCTACACCCAGAAGGAACAAATGCCTCACAGAGAGGTCAAGAAGAACCTCAACTGACAGGCCTTGCTGGGTTTCCCCACTCAGTCTATTACCATTAAGTCATTCCCTTTTTGTCTAATCACATTCCTATGTGGCCGTCCATTCTCATCAAACCTAAAAATAAAAATGAACAGTTTTCCCTTGGGTCTTTACTTCTGAATGCTCCTGTGACATATAAAACTTTGATTAAATAAATCTGTTATTCTTTTTTCTTGTTAACCTATCTTTAGTTGTAGGAGTGTTGACCCTGACCCTTAAGATGGGTTAGGAAAGGTATCACACCCTTCTGCCCCTACAGTTGCTGCATGAAGGAATAACCGACAAATTCAGTCCATGGTTGAACTTTCCCTTTGCTTGACCTACCCCAAAGCTTAAGGCAGAGTGGGAGTAGAGGAAGAGGGACAGGGAAACATTAGACTGAAATGACAAATTGTTCCTGGTGAAAAAGAACAGTTTCTAGAATGTATGGAACATGGGTCCTGCCCAGACCCAGGGAAGCCTGAATTGGGGCAGCAAATGGTGAATGAGACTGAGAGCCACAGTCTGGCCATCAATCAGTGCAGCAGGAGGTAAACAAGCAGGAGAGGAAGAGAGCCTGAGGCTGACTGCATGGTGTGATAGCATCTATTTGTGGGAGGCTATTGACAAACCTGCTTTGGAGTAATGCTGAAGAGAAAAGGGTCAAAAATACTGTGGGCAGTCACAGTGTATGAGGCATCAGTTTTCAGTTTCCTCCTTGTCCCTCCTCCCTGCAAAGTGGAAGAATGGGGGCCAGGGACAGAGGGAACAGGAAGGGGAGGAAATAGAGAGAAAGAACAGACCATGTATTCCCTACCATTCTCTACCATACCAAGTTGCTTTTGCAAAGAGAAAAAGCATTAAATGAAATATGAGATGAAGTTTTCAAGTGGACAGGACCAACAAAGCTGGAAGACTTAAAGTACCATATATCACGATAATGTAAAAGAACAACTGGCACAGGGATACATAAATAGATCTATGGAACTGAATAGAACCCAGAAACAGACCCTAATCTATATAGTCCCTTGATTTATGACAAGGATGACATGGAAGTGAGGCACTTCTTATTAAATGACGCTGAGTCAATTTCATATCTATATACAAGAAATGAATCTCAACCCATACCCTGAGCCATATATAAAAATAAATTCTAGACAGATTACAAGCCTAAATATTAAAGGGCAAAACAATAAAATTTCTAGAAGAAAAAAATTTAAAGGCACACAGCCCAATAAAAAATGAGCAACGTCAATGGTGGATTGCATTTAAAAAAAAAATGTGGTACAATACACCATGGAATACTACACAGCCATAAAAAGAACAAAATCATGTCCTTTGCAACAATTTGGATGCAGCTGGAAGCCACTATCATAAGCAAACTAACACAGAAACAGAAAACCAAATAACACATGTTCTCACTTGTAAGTGGAGCTAAACACTGGGTATACATGCACATAAAGATGGGAATAATAGATACTGGGAAATAAAGAGGGGGAAAGGATGAAGTGAGACAAGGGTTGACAAACTACCTATTAGGTGCTATGCTCACTACCTGGATGATGGATTCATTCATATCCCAAACCTCAGAATCATGCAATATATCTGCATATGTATTCCCTGAATCTAAAATAACAGTTGAAAAAAACAAATAAGCAAATATTTGGACAGATATTTCAAAAAGAATATTCAAATACCAAATATATATATGTGTGTGTGTATACATATATGTATATACACATATACACATAGTTGTTCAACTTCCTTAGTTGTCAGGAAAAATGCAAATTACTATCACAGTGAGACACCACTACATATCCACCAGAATGACTGAAATCAAAGACAGATGAAACCAAATGTTGCTGGGGATATGAATTCTCATACCCTGCTAGTAAAATATAAATTGGTGCAAACACTGGAAAGTTACTTAGTAGTACTTATTAAACCTTCAAATTTGCATACTCTGTGACCAGCAATTCAGAAATTCTTACCTATGTTCACTAAAAAACATGTACAAGCATGTACAGCACTGTTCATAATAGTGCAAAACTGTCCATCAATAGTAGAAAGAATAAACTGTAGTACATTCACAAAGAATACTACACAGCAATGAAAAGCAACAAAACTATTATTACTCTCCACACAAAAATGTGTCTTACAAACATAAAATTGAACAAAAGAAGTCATATAGAAAATAACACATACTGAATGATTCCATCTGAACAAGTTGAAAAACGAAAACAGGACAGTAATTACCCTTCTGGGGGATAGTAACTAGAACAGGGCACAACTGGGGTTTCTGAGATGCTAGCAATATTCTATTTCTTAATTTGGATTCTGGATACATAGATGTAATGACTTCGTGAAAATACATTGTGCTGTAAACTTATGATTTACATACCTCTCTGTGGGTTTATTTAAACAAAATGACAAAAACTAAGTCTTAATAGCTGGAATGTGACTGTTTTAATAACAGAAAGTGAAAAATTATAGAATTGGATTTAGATGTCATTAGGGAGCATGTTATTCAGCAGGAATGGAGATTTCATTAGATAACAGTGGTAACAGAAATTGGAAAAATACAATTGTTTTATGTTTATTCCTTATGATCTAAGAATTTTCAGTCATTTCAGTTATATTAATCTTTCCTTTTCTTGAAATTGATGTGATTCAAAACATGTTATCCCAAAATATGGTATCTTCGCATTTGAGAAAACAGCAGAAGCAAGAAAGTCTCTCTCTCTCTCTCTCTCTCTCTCTCTCTCTCTCTCACCTACTCTCCCCTTTCTTCCCTGAAGCAGGCCACAAAGCCTAGCTGACCTTATTTATTATTTAGTTATTAGTTATTTATTTTTATAAACTCTTTTCTCTTAAATTTAATCTCTTAGTAACTTGAAACTTCCATCCTCTTGCTATAGCCTTCATTTTATACATACAGCTTCAAAGTAACCCAAATTCTCTATCTTCTAAACCAATTTCCAATGCACAAAACACATCAATAATTCTAGGTTTCTACAAATATATGATAGCTATTTTTGTCTTCCATTTTTATCCCTACAAACTAGTTAGATGCATTTTATAATCCCAAGCAGAAATACCCCAATTATGTTAAGTGACTCAAGGGATAGAGTTAATTTTGTATGAAAAGATTAAATTTGCTTGATTGCTCTTTTTTAGTGAAGACTATGTTAATGTCAAGTTTAAGAGTGATAGTATTTTGCTTTTGACAAAGACATAAGGGAAAATTCTTCTCAGCTAGTTCAGTATACTCTAAATCAGCCACAAATATAAATCCTAACTCAAGTTTCTCACAACTAGAAGAAATCAGAAGAATATGATAAAAATCAAAGAATTCATATCATGAAAATGAAAGGTACAAGAGAAATTCAATAACATGCTCTTCCTATTTTTTGTTTGACTTACCATAAAAATCTGCACTAATGGGGGACATCTATGTTTTCAATTCTAAGCATAAGTTTTAGATCTCCATAACATGAAAATGACCACAGATTCTGAATGAGTAGCTGCTCTCCACCACCATATTTCCAAGCTCTAGAAACTCAGTGCTAGAGCTAAACTGAGTTGTTGCTATTGTTTTATTTAGACCACTTGAAACCCTGAAAATCATCAAAATGCAGAAAATCACTATGTTGGTTAGGTTTCCTGTGGCAGGAATATTTAAAACAATTTAAGAAAACTCCTAACCAGAACATGTTCAGAGAATTATTAACATTTTTATTCAGAAGTTTAGATGCCATTTTCTGCCTCATACTCCCTCATTCCCTCCAGTTCAACTCTTCCTAATTAAGTTTTCTGGCCTTGCCCTACCCCCACCTGATCATCATGATAAAACTAGGACATAAGTATTAATACTTATTAAAGCATTACAAGTATTAATATGTCTACTGTTCCATTTCATGGATCTACTCCTACTAATGAAGGAGGAGATACTAAAAATCTAAATAAGAAATTGCTTTTAACCTTGAAAATTTAGAACATTACATTATGATATCCTTGAGGTTATTTGAGGAAAAATATTATTTAGTAAACTGGAAGGAGTGAAATTTTTTTTCTAAAGGTGTCACAAAGAAGCAAGTAATATTGGTAATAACAATTTTAATAATGTACTATCTCTTATAATGAAAGATGATGTTGGTAACCCAGACAAGCTAATGGGCATATGTTTCACACTGGGGTAATACTTCACTACCAGTCACAGGAACAAAAAGCCTTTTGCAAAACTATGTGACAAAATTAACTATGCAGTATGTATCAAAGAATACTGTGGTGGTTTTCAAACTATGCTATTCAGAACCCTTCAGAGATTTAGGGTAAAGCAGAGTCACATTTTGAGGTGTTCTGCTTCATTCGGATTGATATCTTCATTCATTTATGCATACAATAAATACTTATTAAGCTATCTATTACATGCATGCCTGTGGTTGACTAGCACTTTCTGGTATCACACCTGTAATATGATAGAAACAGTCCCTGCTCTCAGAAAGCTCAGTCTAGCTAAAAATAAACACATCAAGCAAATAATGGTAGAAGTAATTAATTAATGGTCAAAGGTACAAACACAATAGAAACATGTATAGAGTGCTATAAAAGAAGTCTTTGGTAAGTTTCCTTCACCTTACGGGTTTTCTCATAAGATTTTAGCTGAATAAAGGGTACATGCTTCCAAGTGACCAAAATAATGTAAGCTAACCTGACACTTATGGTATTAATTACCAAATCTAAGCTCTGATGCCCTATTTTATTGTGTCACTTTGATTCAAAAGAACCATACATTCAAACGTTAAGGTATCTTAAGAATCTCTGTATACCAGATACTATGTTAGAAGCTTTAGGGCTATAAATATGCATTCACTTAAGAAAATATTTCAAAATATTGGATTGAATATTTACTATGCTAGGCACTGGGGATTAACATTTCCATGTAATAATTAGTTTCCAGCATTTCTCAGAAAATGTATGTTTTTCCAAATCCCAAGAAAAATCAGTCAAGAAATAGAGAAAAACAGGAGAAAAAATGGCGGATAGGAGGTAGGACTAACTTGCAGCTCCCACTCGGATGTACAGAGCAGCATGTGGAGACTCACACTGTGAACTTTTGCTCCAAGAACTACCATAGGAACATATCAGGAAAGCCAAGAGAATGCACAGACCCTTTGAAGAAGGTGGATTGGCACCGCAGGCTGTGTGGGACAGCAGAGGAACTGTAAGTCTACTCGCTTTCTCAGCTGGGAGGCTTGTAGCCTGAGGCAAGTTCTCCACTCTGCTCAACGGCTGCCTGAAAATAAACTCGGTTCTATTGGGAGGGCACAGTGTGAGTGAGACTGGCCTTTCAGGCTGTGAGTTGCGGGGGAGCTGGGTGAGGCCTGTGGCTGCCAGCTTTCCTCCACTTCCCTGGCAACCTGTGTGAGCAGCAGAGGCAGCCATAATCCCCCTGGGAACATAACTCCATTGGCCTGGGAACCAAACTCCTTTCCCCCATAGCAGCCACAGCAAGCCACGCACAAGGAGTCTGAGCTCATACACGCCTATATCTGCCCCAACCTGGTGGTGTTTCTCTACCCACACTGGTAGCTAAAAAAAAGGACAATCTCTTAGGAGCGCTATGGCCCCACCCACTCCCAGACCCTAGGGCAAGCTTGTATCCTACCTATACTACTGGAGCTGATGCGCTCTTGAAAGTGCCACCTCCTGGTTTTTGGAGGGCAACCAACACAAAACCAGGGCACTTAAAAATACAACCAAGGACCCCCATAGAGTCCGCTTTGCTCCCCTGCTACACCCACAAGAGCAGGTGCTGGTATTCACAGCTGAGAGACTTGAAAACAGATCACATCACAGGACTCTTCGTAGACACTCCCCAGTACCAGCCCAGAGCCTGGTAGCTCTGCTAGGAGACTAGATTCAGAAGAGAAATAACCCTCACTGCAGTTTGGCTCTCAGGAATCCCCATCACTAGGGGAAGGGGGAGAGCACCACATCAAGGGAGCACCCTGTGGTACAAAAAAATCTGAACAGCAGCCCCTTAGTGTCCCAGATCCTCCCTCTGACGTAGCTTACCCAGAAAAACAATCCTGGTAATATGGCAAAACAAAGTTCTTTAACACCCCCAAAAGTTCACACTAGCTCACCAGCAATGGATCCAAACCAAGAAGAAATCTCTGAATTGTCAGAAAAAGAATTCAGAAGGTCAATTATTAAGGTAATTAAGGAGGCACCAGAGAAAGGTGATGTCCAACTAAAAGAAATAAAAAAAAGATACAGGATATGAATGGAAAAATCTCCAATGAAATAAATAGCATAAATAAAAAACAGTCAAAAACTTCTGAAAATGAAGGACACGCTTAGAGAAATGCAAAATGCACCGGAAAGAATCAGCAACAGAATTGAACAAGTAGAAAAAAAAAACTTCAGAGCTCAAAGACAAGTTTTTTGTTTGTTTGTTTTGTTTTGTTTTGTTTTGAGACGGAGTCTCGCTCTGTCGCCCAGGATGGTGTGCAGTGGTGCGATCTCGGCTCATGTGCAAGCTCCGCCTCCTGGGTTCACGCCATTCTCCTGCCTCAGCCTCCCGAGTAGCTGGGACTACAGGTGCCCACCACCGCGCCCAGCTAATTTTTTTGTATCTTTAGTAGAGACGGGGTTTCACTGTGTTAGCCAGGATGGCCTCGATCTCCTGACCTCATGATCCACCCATCTCGGCCTCCCAAAGTGCTGGGATTACAGGTGGGAGCCACCACTCCCGGCCAAGACAAGGTTTTTGAATTAACCCAATCCAACAAAGACAGAGAGAAAAGAATTTTTAAAAAGGAACAAAGCCTCCAATAATTTTGGGATTATGTTAACCAAACCTACGAATAATTGGTGTTCCCAAGGAAGAAGAGAAATCTAAAAGTTTGGAAAACATATTAGATAGAAAAATTGAGAAAAATTTCCCCAGCCTTTCTAGAGATCTAGACATCTAAATACAGGAAGCTCAAAGAACACCTGGGAAATTCATCGCAAAAAGATCATCACGTAGGTACACAGTCCTCAGTTTATCTAAAGTCAAGACAAAGAAAAGAATCTTAAGAGCTGTGAGGCAAAAGCATCAGGTAATCTATAAAGGAAAACCTATCAGATTAACATAGATTTCTCAGCAGAAACCCTATAAGCTAGAAGAGACTGGGGTTCTATCTTTAGCCTCCTTAATCAAAACAATTAACAGCCAAGAATTTTGCATCCAGCAAAAGTAAGCTTCATAAATGAAGGAAAGATACAGTCTCTTTCAGAAAAACAAACACTGAGAGAATTCACCACTACCAAGCCAGCACTAAAAGAAGTGCTAAAAGGAGCTCTAAATCTTGAAACAAATCCTCTAAATACACCAAAATAGAATCTCCTTAAAGCATAAATCTCACAGAACCTATAAAACAATAATACAATTGAAAAAAAAACCCAGGTATTCAGGCAACAAATAGCATGATGAATAAAATAGTACCTCACATCTCGATACTAACATTGAATGTAAGTGGCCTAAATGTTCCACTTAAAAGATACAGAATTGCAGAATGGATAAGAATTCAACAATAAAGTATCTGCTGTCTTCAAGAGACTCACCTGACACATAAGGACTCACATAAACTTAAGGTGAAGGGGTAGAAAAAGATATTCCATGCCAATGGACACCAAAAGTGAACAGGAGTAACTAATATATATTCTTATATTCAATATATATTCTTATATTGCAACAGCAGTTTAAAAACACAAAAAGGGACATTATATATTGATAAAAGAACTAGTCCAACAGGAAAACATCACAATCCTAAATATATATGCACCTAACACTGGAGATCCCAAATTTATGAAACCATTACTACTAGACCTAAGAAATGAGATAGACAGCAAGTCAATAACAGTGGGAAACTTCAACACTCCACTGACAGCACTAGACAAACCATTAAGACAAAAAGTCAACAAATAAACAATGGCCTTAAACTATACCCTAAAACAAACGGACTTAACAGATATTTACAGAACATTCTATGCAACAACTGCAAAATATACATTCTATTCATCAGCACATGGAACATTCTCCAAGATAGGCCATATGATAGACCACAAAACAAGTCTCAACAAATTTAAGAAAACTGAAATTATAGCAAGTACTCTCTCAAACCACAGTGAAATAAAATGGAAAATCAACTCCAAAAGGAACCCTCAAAACCATGGAAATACATGGAAATTAAATAACCTGCTCCTGAATGATCATTGTGTCAACAATGAAATCAAGATGGAAATTTAACAGTTCTTTGAACTGAATGATAACAGTGACACAACCTATCAAAACCTCTGGGATACAGCAAAGGCAGTGCTAAGAGGAAAGTTCATAGCATTAAATACCTACATCAAAAAGTCTAAAGGAGCACAAATAGACAATCTAAGGTCATACCTTAAGGAGCTAGAGAAACAAGAAGCAACCAAACCAAACCCAGCAGAAGAAAGGAAATAACCAAGGTCAGAGCAGAACTAAATGAAATGGAAACAAAACAAAATAAAAAATACAAAAGATAAATGAGACAAAAAGCTGGTTCTTTGAAAAGATAAATAAAATTAATAGACCATTAGCAAGATTAATCAAGAAGAGAGAAGATCCAAATAAGCTAAGTTAGAAATGAAATGGGAGATATTACAACTGATACCACAGAAATACAAAAGATCATCCAAGGCTACTATGAACACCTTTATGCACATAACATAGAAAACCTAGTGGACATGGATAAATTCCTGGAAATATACAGCCCTCCTACATTAAACCAAGAAGTAGAAACTCTGAAGAGACCAATAACAAGCAGTGAGATTGAAATGCTAATTTAAAAGTTACCAAAAAAAAAGTCCAGGACCAATCAGACATTTAAAGAATTGGTACCAATACTACTGACATTATTCCAAAAGAGAGAAAAAGAGGGAATCCTCCATAAATCATTCTATGAAGCCACTATCACCCTAACACCAAAACCAGAAAAGGAAGTAACAAAAAAAGAAAACTACAGACCAATAACCCTGATGAACACGGACACAAAAATCTGTAACAAAATACTAGCAAACCAAATCCAAAAGCATATCAAAAAGATAATCCACCACAATCAAGTGGGTTTCATACGAGGGATGCGGGGACGGTTTAACATATACAAGTAAAGAAATGTGACACAACACATAAACAGAATTAAAAACAAAAATCACATGATCATCTCAATAGACACAGAAAAAGCATTTGACAAATTCCAACATCACTTTATGACTGAAACCCTCAACAAAATTGGCGTAAAAGGGACATACCTTAAAGTAATGAAAGCCATCTATTACAAACCCACAGCCAACATTATACTGAACAGGAAAATGTTGAAAGCATTACTGCTAAGAACTGGAACATGACAAGGATGCCCACTCTCAACACTTCTATTCAACATAGTATTGGAAGTCCTAGCCAGAGCAATCAAACAAGAGAAAGAAATAAAGGGGATCCAAATTGGTAAAGAGGAAGTCAAACTGTCACTGTTTGCTGAAGACATGATTGTATACCTAGAAAACCTTAAGACTAATCTAGAAAGCTCCTAGAACTGGTAAATGAATTCAGCAAAGTTTCTGGATACAAAATTAATGTACACAAATCAGTAGCCCTGCTATACATCAACAGTTTCCAAGCTGAGAATCAAATCAAGAACTCAAGCCCTTTTACAATAGCTGCAAAAAAAATAAAATAAAATATTTAGGAATATATCTAACCAAGGAGGTGAAAGACTTCTACAAGGAAAACTACAAAACACTGCTGAAAGAAATCATAGACAACACAAACAAATGGAAACATATCCCATGGTCATGGATGGGTAGAATCAATATTGTGAAAATGACCATACGGCCAATAGCAATCTACAAATTCAGTACAATTCCCATCAAAATACCACCATCATTCTTCACAGAACTAAAAGAAAATCCTAAAATTAACGTGGAACCAAAAAAGAGCCCACATAACCAAAGCAGGACTAAGCAAAAAGAACATACCTGGAGGCATCACATTACCCAACCTCAAACTATACTAAAAGGCAATAGTCACCAAAACAACATAGTACTGGTATAAAAATAGGTATATAAGCCAATGGAACAGAATAGAGAACCCAGAAATACACCCAAATACTTACAGCCAACTGATCTTCAACAAATCAAACCAAAACATAAATAGGAGAAAAGACACCTTATTCAACAAATGGTGCCGGGATAATTGACTAGCCACATGTAGGAGAATGAAACTGGATCCTTGTCTCTCACCTTACACAAAAATAAGCTCAAGATGGATCAAAGACTTATATCTAACATCTGAAACCATAAAAATTCTAGAAGACACATTGGAAAAACCCTTCTAGACATCAGCTTAGGCAAAGCTTTCATGACCAAGAACCCAAAAGCAAACACAACAAAACAAAGACAAATAGATGGGACTTAATTAAACCAAAAAGCTTCTGCACAGCAAAAAAGATAATCATCAGAGAAAAGTGACAACCCACAGAGTGGGAGACAATCTTCACAATCTATACATCCAACAAAGGACCAATATCCAAAATTTACAAGGAACTCAAGCAAATCAGCAAGAAAAAAACAAATAATCCCATCAAAAAGTGGGCTAAGGACATAAACAGACAATTCTCAAAAGAAGATATACAAATGGCCAACAAACATACAAAAAAATGCTCAACATCACTAATGACCAGAGAAATGCAAATCAATACCACCTTACTCCTGCAAGAATGGCCATAATCAAAAAATCAAAAAAATAATAGATGGTGGTGTGGATGTGGTAAAAATGGAACACTTTTACACTGTTGGTGGGAATGTAAACTAGTACAAGCACTATGGAAAACAGTATGGAGATTCCTTGAAGAACTAAAAGTAGCTCCACCATTTGATCCAGGAGTCCAACTCCTGGGTATCTACCCAGAGAAAAAGAAGTCATTATACGAAAAAGATACTTGCACACTGATGTTTATAGCAGCACAATTTGCAGTTGCAAAAATATAGAATTAGCTCAAATGCCCATCAGTCAACAAGTGGATAAAGAAAATGTGGTAAATATATATACCACGGAATACTACTCAGCAATAAAAGGGAACAAAATAATGGCATTCACAGCAACCTGAATGGAGTTGGAGACCATTATTTTAAGTGAAGTAACTCAGGAATGAAAAACCAGACACTATATGTTCTCATTCATAAGTGGGAGCTAAGCTATGAGGAAACAAAGGCCTAAGAATGATACAATGGACTTTGGGAACTCGGGGAAAGAGGGGGCGGGTGAGGGATATAAGACTACACACTGGGTACAGCGTACACTCCTCCAGTGGTGGGTGCGCCAAAATCTCAGAAATCTCCACTGAAGAACTTATTCATGCACATAAATAAATAAATAATAAAAGAAATAGGGAAAACCAGAACCAGTAAAAGTACTATAATTCTCTTGTGAGGATTGAAGCTTAATAACATGGAGACATTACTGGTTCAAAGGAATATACTGATGTAAAGTTGAAAGCAAGAGCAGATAATATTGACACATGGAGTAGAACACTGAAGTTCCAGTAACCAAGGAAGGTGAACATAGGAGAGAAGTTGTCACATTTAATCAGTTAGTCTTATTGTGGCTGTTGCAGAGTTATATGTGAGTATTCATGGCATTGCATGCTGCTAACAGTGAAGAACTCTTGCAAGTAAAATAAACATTAACAAGTTTACACGCATAATATACTTTATGCAAATCCACTGAGTGGTGTTCCAAGAAATGACAAGTTTTGGAAGCAAAGTAAGCCCTTACATTGACAAGTTTGACATATAATTCTTTGAGGTACTGTTAGCTTTGCTAGGAGATCTGAATGTTATGTAATTCAAATACTACCCAATCACTTTTGACTGGTGTTTTCTAGTGTCTGAATATTCACTACAGGCTACAGTTCTCTATAACTATTATTAAACTTCATATTTCTCATATATTAAACAAAATGTTAGATATTTAAAATAATGAGCAAAGCATATAAAAACTGTTGAAAGTTTTTTGTTTTGTTTTTGTTTTTTTTTTTGAGACAGAGTCTTGCTCTGTCACCCAGGCTGGAGTGCAGTGGCACAATCTCGGCTCACTGCAACCTCTGCCTCCCAGGTTCAAGCGATTCTCCTGCCTCAGCCTCCTGAGTAGCTGGGATTAGAGGTACCTGCCACCACGCCTGGCTAATTTTTATATGTTTTAGTAGATACAGGGTTTCATCATGTTGGCCAGGCTGGTCTTGAACTCCTGACCTCAGATGAACTGCCTACCTTGGCCTCCCAAAGTGCTGGGATTACAGGCATGGGCCACCGCGCCCGGCCGAAAGTATTTTTAAAACAACTTACAATTTCAGGAATTCCCAGAAATTCTCAAGAATTACTACTTCTCATTTCTGAATCCCAAAGATTAATATTTATTGGGAATTGGGAAATACTACTTGAGATAAAAGTTGACTAAGAGAACTTCCCTGCCTCTTTGAAGTTTAGGAGAGAGATGAAAACATGGAAACCAAAAAAAGTATTAAAGGTGTTAAGATAAAATTCTATTTAGGACACAGTGAAGACACAAAGGCAAAAGACACAGAGCAATTATGCCCACAGAGGTCTGGAGAAGGCTTTACAGCAAAGAACATGAGATCTTGAGTGGTGTCCTAAAAGGCAAAAACTACCTTCTAGATAAAATAAAGGGAGATATGAGACTGCTAACAGGCCATACAGAGGGAAGACTGCTGAGGCTGGGGTCATGAAACATCATGGGTTGTTCAGCAAACATTTAGTAGTTTAGGGAGGAAGGTGGAGTTTGATGGGAGACAGGAAGAACAGAAAGGGATTTAATTCAGGGAAGATCTTCTAATGAAAGGAAAAGTCTCCCAAGAATCTTAAGTAGTTGACTGACATGATCAGATTTATATTTTTTAGAAAGATCCCTCTGGAGGACACATGGAGGATGGGTTCAAAGTGTGTGAGACTAGAGATTAGTACTGCAACAGTTAGGTGCATCCCTAAACAATACAACTCCATACATTGTTAAAGACCCACACATACCCAACACACTGCAGGGTAGAAACCTGTAAGAGGAATTGGGAATGAAAGTGAATACTAAGTCTAATGGGTAAAATAACAAGATTTTAAAACAGAGAGTAAGGCAGTCATGATGCTTGTTGATTGTATCATGAACTGAAGAGTATAATAAACTCAAGCCACTGTAGCTGAGGTACCTAGGAACAAACAAATGAAAGGATGGCTATATCTTTCCTACTGATAAATTAAACTACATTTGCCCCAAGGCTGCCTCCATACTTTGAGTCCTATGTAAAGAACTACAACCCAAATTAGTACATAAACTCAGGAAAAGCTAATTAGAAGTATACTTTTGTAACAAATATCTGAGTCTCAGCCAATCACAGCAGCTGAGCTTTAGTCTATCACAAGCAGCCAACTGATCAGACCATGTTCAAATAAGGCAAATGCCTAGCTAAAATAAATCAGGCTGTTCCTGTACCTCGCTTCTGTGTTCTGTCCATAAATGCAGCTTGCCCAGGTCTCAGAGCAGAACCCTCTGAACCTCTTCTGGTTCTGAGGGCTGCACAATTATAATGCAAATCATTCTTTGCTCAAATTAACTGTTAAATGTAATTTGTCTAAAGTTTTTCTTTTAACACTATTCTTTTCATATAATCACATGAAATAAGAGAAGAAAATCAATGGTAGAAAAATTCCCTTGTACAGTAAATCAAATTGTTAAGAAGTGTAATTTCTTTAAAAAGATATATCTAGTTACTCTATCACTGACTCTCAAATAATCTGTAGAACTTTATTCATTTTCTAAAGAGTCTTGTTACCCTCATGATCCGTATCAACCTGCAATTCAAAATATCATAGAATTGATAGAATTGTTTTGTCTATCAGTAATTGTCTTCATGGTTATATTTTTTTCAGATTATATTTGGGAAAAGCTACTTATTAGAGGAATATCTACGAATAATAATCAGTCTTTCACAAGCCCAAAAGCTCTGATATCTCCCTCCCTCATGATCCCATTGCTGTTGATAGTGTTATGCAGATTTTGTAAACAATTAAATCTGTTCGCATGCAAACAATTTTGGTTTAACCATGAACAACAATAAAGAAGTTCATATACTTCTTTTATGTAATTCACGATCTACCCATGCTCCTTTTAAAAGCATACTAATATATCCTATTATGTATTCCAAAGCTGTTATACGAAAGTGAATGTTCTTTTCAAAATTCTTTTTGACATGCCACTGGAGCAGCTCCAGAAAAAAATTAACACTTTTGGGGAATTTTATTGCATCCCTTTCAGTAGCCAAAAAGGAAGCGGGTGGGGCGGGGGTGGGGGGCTGAAGCCAAAGATTAAAATAAATGCATAATTCATTTTTAACATGGTAGGTTTTCTCTCATTCTTCATTGTAATAGCTCTAGAACTAATTTTACTGTTAACACTGAATTTTTAGAGGGGTGTTGTATAAACCATTTTTTACAAAGAAGGAGACTAAAAAGATTTTCTGCTCACCATCAGTGCACAAAATTGAACAAGTGAAAATCTTCACACACAATATGCTTCCAATGAGCATGCTCTTATGCATCAAAGAGGAAACAAAGCATTTCAGGATTATGTTTGTAAAAGGATTGTTTTTGAAAAAAATAAAAAAGCATAGAGCAAATTTCAGAGTGGAAAAACATCAAAGGCTTTTCAATAGTCAAACTCATCACTAGATTTAAGGCAACATTTAAAGCAAGACATCTGTGTTATTTATATAATATCAAAAAGAAAAAGCACAAAGGTAGACTCAAGACAAATAAAGAATCCACCTCCTATGCTATAAAATACTTCTTATGTTTGTCTCTCTAACAGTATGCTATTATTCTAGCAAGGCAAATATGTTCTTAAAAGGGTATCATGTTTTGTATGATGCTGATGAGCGCAGCTTTTTCATGTGTCTTGCTTAATGCAGCTAAATACTACGAATGCTATTCAGTTATCAAAGATACAAAGAACCATTCAAGTTTAGGAAATTACTAGACTCTTTCTTACAGAAACACAAATTATTATAATGTATTGTTTTCATCTTCCTGCCCAATATCCAAACTTTATAATCCATTCTATTTTTCTCTCACATTGTACCATGAGACACTTTTACTGCGAGCAGTAAGTATGAGAATGCAAAATCTAGGGAGGGGTGAAAAGAAGTAAAAGAACAACAATGTAAAGGAGGGGAAGCTGACATGGAGAAGGAAAAATAGGATTCAACACTCTTGGATTCAGTTATTAATTCTTAACAAATGTCCCCAGGGAGCTCACCCAGTATTTCTAGACCAGATGGAAAAAACAGTATGCTACAGCAACTCTATCCCTAGACCCAGCTGTCATGAGGAATAGAGAGGCAATCCCAGTAAGGAACTAACATCTAACACCATACTTCATGTGTGCTGCGCCATTCATATACAGGCTGACCTTAAGATGGTGACTGTTTTGTTTGTTGGTTGGTTTTTGTTTTGTTTTGCTGGCTTCTTATGTATGTGCCTCTGTTTTTTATATCAATCCTTGACCTCTCTCCAAAGTCCAATCATGCATTTCCAGGCCCTGCCAATGATCTCCTTTGTACCTTTAAGTCAACATTCCCCAAAACCATTCATTTTCTCCTAAACCTGAAAAAAAGAAAAAAACTCCACCACTTGACTTTTTCCCTGTGGCTGGCAACACCATTCTCTCAATCCTTCAAGCATTACATTTTAAAATGATAACTGAGTTTTCCTTCTCTCTCTTCATCATATCAAGATCTTGCTGGCCAGGCACAGTGGCCCACACCCGTAATCCCAGCACTTTGGGAGGCCAAGGCAGGTGGATCACGAAGTCAGGAGATTGAGACCATCCTGGCTAACACGGTGAAATCCCATTTCTACTAAGAATACAAAAAATTAGCCGGGCGTGGTGGCACACACCTGTAGTCCCAGCTACTCAAGAGGCTGAGGCAAGAGAATTGCTTGAACCCAGGAGACAGAGGTTGCAGTGAGCCAAGATTGCACCACTGCACTCCAGCCTGGGTGACAGAGCAAGACACCGTCTCAAAAAAATAAAAAAAAAAATTCTTGCCAAATTATATAGCCTAATAGCAAAATATTTGTCAAAAGTCGATCCCCTTGGCCAAGCGTGGTGGCTCACGCCTGTAATCCCAGCACTTTGGGATGCCGAGGCTGGAGGATCACAAGGTCAGGAGATAGAAACTATCCTGGCCAACATAGTGAAACTCCTTCTCTACTAAAATACAGAAATTAGCTGGGCGTGGTGGCACATGCCTATCATCCCAGCTATTCAGGAGGCTGAGGCAGGAGAATCACTTGAACCAGGGAGTCAGAGGTTGAGTTGGAGGTTGCAGTGAGCCGAGATCACGCCAGAGCACTCCAGCCTGGCAACAGAGCGAGACTACATCTCAAAAAAAAAAAAAAAAAAAAAAGTAGAACCCCTCTTTTCCAATTTTGTTATGTAATTCCATCCCAAAGTTTGGATTACCCAGGCCTCTCACTTAAATGGTCACAAACACCTAACTGGTCTCCCCACCTTCAATCTCTTTATCCCCAATTCATTATATCCACTGCTATTAAATTAATATTCCTATGGCACAACTGTGATCCTCCTCCTCCAATTCTCAAAAATCTTTAGTGAATTCACAATTATTGAAAATATTTAAAATCTTTTAGCCATGAAAATCAAAGGTTTTCATGATCTCACCTCAATCTCACTTTTCAAAATGATCTCACACAATCTCCTTCATATACTCCATGTTTGAACCACTGGACTACATATTATTAAGTGAAATGTACCTGAGCTTGCACATCTTGTGTCTTTATTCACACTAATCTTCCCTCCTTGTTTGCTGTGATAGGGACTGTGCTAGATAGTATGATACAAAGATGAATAATAGATCTTATATAGGTTCTAAGCTTCTTAGAGAAGCATGAGCTTTGGAATTAGATAGGACTGGGGTCTGAATTCAGATTCTGCAATTGCCAGCTGTCTGATTTGGGGCAAGCTCTTAACCTGAGAGACAGCTTTTTGAGCTGTGAAATGATATAATAACATCTACCTTGGAAAGTTGCCAGGATATAAATTACATATTTTAAAAGCATGATATGGTGTCTTCCATTTAGGTAAGTCTTCCTTCTGAAATACCAACATTAGCTTCCCCAAGCAGAATGCACTGATGACAATAATGAGTTAGCTGTCACCTGCAAAGATCCTGAGTTAGTACAGACAGAGAACAATTGCAGCTTTCCTCTACTCCTTTTCTTCCTTGCAGAGACAAATGAGGGTGACCTCACAGTTTATGCCTCGTAACGTTTGCCTAGTGATCTTTTCCATTCTCCAACACCATCCAGGCAATAAGCATCAATGTTAATGAGCTGCTGGACAGCTTTGTGAAACTGACTGAAAGAGCCAGATAGGTATTGGTGTCCTACACATGCAAATAATATACTTTCCCTTCAAATGTACTATTTTTATATAAGTTTCAAAAGTTACATCCTGGTGGAATGACAGTACCCAACTGAAATATGTTTTCCACTCTATGTTACTGCTTACTTCAACGGGAAAAGAATATATTTACACTTTGCCATATTATGTAAACATGGAAAACTGAGCTAACTAGTGTCATGTTATTAATTGACTCCAGTGATATTTTAGCATCCTTTATAGATTGGCCCCCTGGACTCGTAACTGCCCGTAATCCAAGTATGTATATGTGAAATAACCTCAGGGGTCGGTGGGAGGGGGAAAGGGGTTATTTACACAGTGTTTGAAGAAGTGCAACACTTGCAGTTTCAATTCCAGAAGTAGTAGGTACCGAGGCATCCTGGATAGACTGTAAAAGAGTAGTCAAGAAATCCTGGCAGTTATCAATGACTAGAAGCCAAGTAAAAGCTGCAAGTCATAATTGCTGGAAATTTGTTTACATGCAACAGTATTTTCAAGGGAAAGTAAGAAGCAGAGGGAAAAGGGCTTGATATAGAGCAGACATCCGAACCCAAGTACTTAATAGTAGGAGGAAAAAGAAGGCTGAAACTAGCTTAGAAGCCATCTAAAAAAGAAATATTTAGTTGGTCTTTATTTACACTAAATTAGAAAAAATTTTACTTAAACCTATGCCTCAGTCTAAATTTCCCAGTGAACATTTGTGGAGATTTGGCTATCTAGAATCCATTTCTTCCTTCTTTGGGCAACAGCATCCTTATTTCATTTTAGAGAATTCCCTCCTCTCTATTGTATCCAGTCTTGGTGGTGCTACAAGTCAACATGCCCTGTGCTCCTCTAACCAGTAATCATCCAAGCTATGCCAGTAAGACTCTCCAAAATTTAAATCTAAAGTGGAGTAGCTTAAGAATGGAAAAGGATAAAGTCCCAGAAATAGCGCTCCAACAAAACTATTGTGAGTATCTTGCTGTTCAGAAACCGTAAGCCTGGTCACTAGCTTTTACCTTAATTCTGCTGACTACCCAATAATCTTTCAATAAATTCCTTTCTGCTTCCTTAACTAGACTTGGTTCCTATTGTTGGCAGCCTAAGAAGCCCTGATAAGGAATTAAAGCCATTTTGCCTAACTTTGTCCCTGGTCTTTCCAAATGAAAACTACAAATATTTGAAAACAAAACTACCCTATAGTTTGTTGAACGGTGTTTTTATGGCTCTATTACAGAAGTATCCAGCATACTTGCATTTTTCAAGCACACAAAACTTAAAGGGGGCATTTTTGTTTACTTTTCCTACCTCATTTTCAGCAGTATTCACTCTATTCCCACTGTTTCCTGCCACGCTTCCCCATTACACGATTTTCTTCATAATTGGGCCAAGGTTTACTCTAGTAACATTAGCTGTATTGATTTATTTGTACATTTGCTGTCTCGAGAACTTAAGTAATTTGAGTAGCTCATATTATTGTTTACATGTTCAATTATCTTGTACTTCTTAACATTTTCAATGCCATTGCCTTTATTCTAGTATCTTTTCACAAATATGCATTACTGTATTAAGTACAATGTGTCCAAAATTAATTGTTAAAGGTATGATACCAGTATTTGTTCCCCCAGGACTCTTCGATGAAATAAATCAGTAAAAGAAAATCTAAATGTATAATTTATAAATTTATAGAAATTGAGAAATCTGAAAAATGTAGTGATCACCTAATCTAAGGCCATAATTTTATAGATAAGGGAATAGGTCTCCCTAGGCCATTATCCTTGATTCCAACATCTCCATTGATTTATTTTGGGTTTTATGTGTTTTCTGTCATTGCAAGGGGTTCAGGGAAAAAGATAGCAACTGTGTATGTCCGGTAATCCCTCTTAAACAAGAGGAAAAAGGGAAATAATCTGACATCCCAACTTAAATCAGGGGCACCAGTAATCTCACAGTAATTTAAAGGTCAAAGTTTACAGTTATCTTAAATTTTTATTTAAATCTCCTTCCTATTCACCTGGCCACTGTAAAGATTAAATGAAAGTAATTTGTAGACTATAAAATGTTATATGAGTCAAGATTTTGTTAATATTGCTATTCTTCATCCTTTCCCTTCCCACGGCACAAACATAGAGCCATTATGGCCTTACATCAAAATTATAACACAAACCAATAAAGCCCCCATCCCCTCCCCATTGCAACCCATCCTATAAGACAACTTTTTGTACTAGACTTTCAATTCTTTCAAACTTTTAAGAAATAAATAACACCAATTATATCAGTCTATTTTCACACTGTTGATGAAGACATACCCGAGACTGGGAAATTTATAAAGAAAAAGAGGTTTAACGGACTCACAGCTCCACGTGGCTAGGAAGGCCTCACAATCATGGTAGAGGGCGAAAGGCATGTTGTCTTACATGGCAGCAGGCAAGAGAGAGAATGAGAGCCAAGCAAAAAGAGTTTCCCCTTATAAAACCATCAGATCTCACAAGACTTACTCACTACCACGGGAACAGTATGTGGGAAACCACCCCCATGATTAAATTCTCTCCCACCGGGTACCTCACACAATACTTGGGAATTATGGGAGCTACAATTCAAGATGAGACTTGAGTGGGGACACAGCCAGATCATACCACCAACATTACACCTACTCTTCCAGAGAACAGGAAAATATAAAACACTTCCAAATGTGTGTTGTTGTTGTTGTTGTTGTTTGAAGCCAGGATAGTATTAATATCGCAGCCTCACAAGAACATTGCAAAAAAGCAAAGTCAAAAGCAAATCCTAATCGTGAACATGAGTACAAAACACCTGAACAAAATTTCAGCAAATCAAATCCTGCGATATATAGAAAGGATAATAAACCATGATCAAGCTGGGTCTATTCTAATAATGTAATATCATTTACTACAGTAACAGGATGAGGGAGAAAAATCATATGATTATCTCAATAGATGCAGAAAAAGCACTCTATAAAATTCAACACCAATTAATGATTTTTAAAAAAGAAACTAGCAAACTGGCAATAAAATGAAACTGCCTTGGACTGATAAAGCAAATCCAAAGAATTCAAAAGTCAGGATAGTGGTTGTCCTTTGGGAGTAGTAAATGGAATGAGTAAGAAAAGAGCTTCAGAAGAGCTAATTTCTTTATCTGAATGCTTAAAACCCAAACGTGGCAAGTTCATGAGAATTTACTGAGCTGTACAAATACAGTATGAGCACTTTCTTCTATGTATATTATACTTCAACAATAAAAAAACCTATAGCAGTCATACTTAATTATGAAATAATAAAAGTTTTCTTCTTGAAATTGGAAATTACACAAGCATGCCACTAACACCATTGTTCTTCAACAATTTATTGGAGATCCTAGGCAGTGCAATAAGAAAAAGAAATAGAAGACATGAAGGACGACAAGAAAGAAATTTCATGCAGAAAACCCCAAAATAATCTATGGATAAAGTATTAGAATAAAAATACATAGCAAGATTATTGGATTTCAGGTCAAAATAGAAAATCAACTGTTTCTATATATCAGCAGTTAAAAAAAAAGTTTTTAAATGACACCATTTATAACATTAAAAATATCCAACACTTCGGAAACTAATGGAAGATATGCAAGGTCCTTACAGAGAACACTATAAAACATTATTTTAAAAATTTAAGGAAGAGGCCGGGTGTGGTGGCTCAAACCTGTAATCCCAGCATTTTGGGAGGCCGAGGCGGGCAGATCATTTGAGATCAGGAGTTCGAGACCAGCCTGGCCAACATGGCGAAATCCTGTCTCTACTAACAATACAAAAATAGCCGGGCATGGTGGCAGGCTCCTGTAATCCCAGCTACTTGGGAGGCTAAGGCATGAGAATAGCTTGAACTCGGGAGGCAGAGGTTGTAGCGAGTGGAGATTGCGCCACTGCAATCCAGCCTAGGTAACAAAATGAGAGTCTGTCTCAAAAAATAAATAAATAAATTTTAAGGAAGAAATAAATGGAGAGATATATCATGCTGATGAAAGAGAAAATACTGAAAATGTCAATTTCTCCAAATTGTTCTATAGATTCAATGTGATTCCAATCAAAGTCCCAGCAGAATTTTTGTGGAAATTGACAAGATGATTATAAAAATTAATATAAAAAAATCAAGAGAATTTTGAAGAAGTGGGAGGAGGTACACCATCAGACAACTAGAATAATTAAGACAGTATGGTATTGGCACAAAGATAAATGCATGAACCAATGAAACAGAAGAGGGTGCAAAATAGACTCATACATATATTTTAAAAGATTGGGCTGGGCACGGTGGCTCACGCCTGTAATCCCAGCACTTTGGGAGGCTGAGGCAGGAGGATCACCTGAGGTTGGGAGTTTGAGACCAGCCTGACCAACATGGAGAAACCCATCTCTACTAAAAATAATAATAATACAAAATTAGCCAGGCGTGCTGGAGCATGCCTATAATCCCAGCTACTCGGGAGGCTGAGGCAGGAGAATCACTTGAACCCGAGAGGCAAAGGTTGTGGTGGGCCAAGATCGCGCCATTGCACTCCAGCCTGGGCAACAAGAGTGAAACTTTGTCTCAAAAAAAAAAAAAAATTGTACTGCAGAGCCACAGAGAAACAATGATCTTTTCAACAAGTGGTGCTGGTTCAAATAAATATCAATAGCAAAAAATGAAAACTGCTATATGCCTCACATCATATAAAAAAAGAACTCCTAATAGATCTATGAAAAAATAATAAAATATCTTAAAAGTTTACATAAATGAATAACTCATGACCTTTATATAAGCAAAATTTTCTTTTTCTGTCCTTTAATTTCAACTTTTTTTTCTTGCTTTTTTTATAATTTCAACTTTTATTTTAGATTCGGGGTAGATGTACAGATTTATTACACAGATATATTGTGTGATGTTGAGAATTAGGGTACAACTGATCCTATCACTCAGGTAGTGAGCATAGTATTCGATAGTTTTTCAACTCTTGCTCCGCCGTCACTCCCCTTTCTAGTAGTCCCCAGTTTCTATTGTTGCAATCTCTACGTCCATGAGTACCTAATGTTTAGCTCCCACCTATAAGTGAGAACCTGTGGTATTTGGTTTTCTGCTCCTGCATTAATTCACTTGGGATAATGTCCTCCAGCTACATCCATGTTGCTGTAAAGGACATGATTTCAATCTTTTTTATGGCTGTATAGTATTCCACTGTATATACGTATATTTTCTTTATCCAATCCACCATTGACAGGCACCTCGGTTGATTCCATGTCTTTACTATTGTGAATACTACTGAAATGAACATATGATTGCATGTTCTTTTTGGTAGAACAATTTATTTTCTTTTGGATATAGACCCAGTAATGTGATTGTTGAGTCAAATGATAGTTCTAAGATATTTGAGAAATATCCCACCTCCACAATGGTTGAACTAATTTACATTCCTACCAACAGTATGTAAGTGTTCCCTTTTCTCCACAGCCTTGCCAGCATCTGTTGTTTTTTGACTTCTTAATAACAGCCATTCTGAGAGATGGTACTCATTGTGGTTTTGATTTGAATTTCTCTGATGATTAGTTATTTGAGCATTTTTTCATATACTTGTTGGTCACTTGAATGTCTTCTTTTGAGAATTGTCTGTTCTTGTATTTTGCTCACTTTTTAGAAGGGATATTTGGTTTTTGCTTTTTGAAATGTTTAAGTTCCTTATAGATTTTGGATATTAAACATTTGTCAGATGTATAGCTTGTGAATATTTTCTCCCATTCCATAGGTTGTCTGTTTACTCTGTTGATAGTTTCTCTTGCTGTGTAGAAGCTCTTTAGTTTTTAAATTAGGTCCTACTCGTCAATTTTTATTTTTGTTGCAATTGCTTTTGAGACTTAGTCATAAATTCTTTCCCAAGGCCAATGTCCAAGATACTGTTTCCAATGTTTTCTTCTAATATTTTTATAGTTTGAGGTCTTACATTTAAATCTTTAATCTGTCTTAATTTTTGTATATGGTGAAAGGTAGGGGTCCAGTTTCATTCTTCTGCATATAGCTAGCTGGCTATCCCAGCACTATTTGTTGAATAGGGAGTCCTTTCCCCATTGCTTATTTTTGTTGAAGATCAGATGGTTGTAGGTGTGTGGCTTCATTTCTGGGTTCTCTATTCTGTCCCATTGGTCTATGTGTCTGTTTTTGTTCTAGTACCATGCTGTCTTGGTTACCGTAGACTTATGGTATAGTGTGAACTCCAATAATGTGATGACTCTGGCTTTGTTCTTTTTGCTTACGATTGCTTTGGCTATTTGGGCTCTTTTTTTAGTTCCACATGAATTTTAGAATAGTCTTTTCTAATTCTGTGAAAAATGACGTTGGTAGTTTGATAGGAATAGTATTGAATCTGTAGACTGCTTTGGGAAGTATGGCCATTTTAATAATATTGATTCTTCCAATCCATGAGCATGGAATTTTTTTCCAATGTTTGTGTCATCTATAATTTCTTTCAGCAGTGTTTAGTAGTTCTCCTTGTAGAAATATTTCACCTCCTTGATTAGCAGTATTCCTAGGTATTTTGTTTTTGTGTGTGTAGCTATTGTAAGTGAAATTGTGTTCTTGATTTGGCCTTCAGCTTGTACATTATTGGTGTATAGAAATGTTACTGATCTTTCCACATTGATTTCATATCCTGAAACTATAATGAAGTCATTTATTAATTCCAGGAGCCTTGGTGCAGTCTTACAATGTTCTAGGTATAGAATCATATCACCAGCAAGGAGAGACAGTTTGACTTCTTTTTTTCCTATTTGGATACCTTGTATTTCTTTCTCTTGTCTGACTGTTCTAACTAGGACTTCAAAATTTTCTTAAATTGAATACAAAAAACACTAACTACAAATGAAAAGATTGATAACTTGCATTAGCTAAAATTAACAACTATTATTCGTCAAAGACAACATTAGAAAGTAATAAGGCAAACCACAGATGGGAAAAAACATATGTACTAGGATGGCTAAAATTAAAAAGATTATCAATACCAAATGTTTTGGATAAGAACTACTCATGTATTTCCAGGCGGAGTATAAATTTTTTACAGCCACTCTGGAAAAATATGCATACACTATAACCTAGCAATACCATTTTTAGATATAACAGAAATGTGTATGTATGTGCATGTGTGTGTATACCAGTTAGAAAGAAGCATGAGGGTGTTTCTTAGTACTGGTAATGTTCTGTTTCTTATTCTAGATGGTACTTGCATAGGTCTTTTGCTTCATAATAATTCATAAAGCTGTATACTTACAGTCAGTGCCCTTTTCTGTATGTATGATATACTTCAATTTTTTTAATCAGGGGAAAAATAAGGAGAGAAAATCACCAATGTGAAACAAATATCAGAAATGCCCATCCAGGAACCTGAAATCATTTCTCACTGGCACAAACACTACCCAGTGATAAAATAAGGACTTGATATTTAGACAACAACAAAAACCTGATGTTTCAGTTTATCTATACAGCCTTAGTAAATGTAAGTATGTAATTTCATTAAGCTTTCTGAAATGCTAAAAACAATTTTAAAGATTCTTATTGTTTTTGTGTACCCTTTTGTATTCACAGATCCCAGATTAGAAATTAGTGCCCTAGTCTGAAAAGAAGGATCACCAGACAAAAATATTCAGTAAATGTTGCCTCTTCTCTTTATAATCTATATGTTAGGTTTACACTGAAAACTATCTCTTTAGGGAAATTATATAGATACACCAATCCTAAGTAAACATTTTTAAATAAAATGATGAGGGTCTTATTCTCAATTGTTTCCAACACTAGATACATTATAAAAAGAAGTTTTGTCCCTATAACCCCCAAATCTATGTTCTTTGTTAATCAGTGTGTCACAGTTCAAATCTTAATCACATCCAAAATTTTGTGACCTTGGGCAAATTTCTTAATCTGTGTTTCAATTTCCATATCTGGAGAATGGGGATGATGTGACTAATACCTACCTCATAGGGCTATTGTGAAGATTAAATGCAATAATGCATGTCAATCACTTAGCACTGTGTCTAAATGTTAGGCTATTATTATTATCACCATCATTTTTGCCTATTTATTTATTTTTTAAAGTAAAACACTAAATTGCTGATTACAAATTTGTGAGCATGAGGAAGACTGTTGACATAAGGGCTTCATTCTCAGTGATCATGTTAGGAAGTAACCTTGTACTGGGGGATTTCTAGATATCAGTATATGAAGTCTTCTTTGGAGCCACTCGATTCTTTCAAAGAAGAATACATTTTTCTCCTAACCTGGAAAGTGCTGTCTAGTTGATGATGCTGTGCAAAGGAACAGGAAGAGGAGTTTAACTGCTCCATAGATCAACTTTCTACCTATCCCTTTGTTTACTGCTTAAAGACTCATTCCCTACCCTCAGCTCTACCTCGTAGTTCCAAGCCCTTCAAATATTTAAAGATAGCCGTTATTTTATTCTGAGTCTTCTCTTCTCCAGTTAGACATACCCATCTCCTTTAACTATTTACAGACCATTCTCTTTCATCATCAGTATATTCATTCAAATCTCTGTTATTGTGATGGTTAATTTTATGTGTCAACTGGGCTAGGCCACAGTACCCAGATATTTGATCAAAGATTCCATGATGGCAATTTTTAAATGAGAATAACACTAAATCAGTAGACTTTAAGTAAAGCAGATTGCCCTCTGCAATCTAGGTAGGCCTCGTTCAATCAGTTGAAGGCCTTAACAGTCTGACCTCCCTAAAGGAAAAGGGGATTCCACCAGCAGACCACCTTTGGACTGGAACTGCAAGTCTTCCCTGAGTCTCCTGCATGCTGGTATGCTCTGCAGATTTTGGACTTGCCAAATCTCCATAATCTTGTGTGCCAATTCCTTAAAATAAATAAATCTCTCTCTCTCTCTCTCTCACATATATATATATATATATCCTGTTGGTTCTGTTTCTCTGGAGAACCTTGACTAAAACAGCTATGCTTCAGGAATACAAGTAGAAAACACTACCTACCTTTGTGGATATGCCAGTCTAACCTCACTTTATTATATCCAAATAACTCTTAAAACTGTTTCTAGGTCACATGGACCTATGCAATCAGACCAATGCAATTTGACCATAATATAGAATAAATAAACTGCAATTTCACCTCCCTAATATAATTATTTTACCGCAACCAAAGAGCAACCTAATCCACATCACTGCTTATATTGAGTTTACCATAATAAAATCCCCAAAAACTTCCCACAAGAACTGTTACAGCTCACCAATTCTGTATTTGTGAATTGTTTTGGGGGGCCTGCACATAATACCTAACATTTTTTCCTACTAAATTTTATCCTCTGAAATTTAGTTTTTCATTGACTGCTGTCAAGATATTTTGGATTCCAGATTCTGTCATTTCAATACATTTACAAATACTCTCAGCTCCATACTAATGAAATATTAGTCTTTATCAAACTAAAAGAGGCATAGCTAAGATCAAGAGAAGTCTCTGACATCATCAACTATAAACAAAGCCTGAATTCAAATAATACTGACATACATATGCTGCTATTAAAATTCTCAGGGAGTATTAGATATGCAAGGAAGGTGGGACATATGCTGCTCCAGACAGGCCTGGTGTCAACTGCTGTCTCTAAACTTACAAGTTTTATAACTGGACAATTTGCTTATTCCTCAAAGAGTTTCAATTTCCTTTTCAATAAAATGGTAAAGATAAAACTTACATCACAAGACTGGTGTGATGTTCAAAATACACATAAAGCACTTGACAGAATGCCTAATACATTGCAAATACTTGACATGTGTCTACTTTGAAGCACGTATTATAGTAAGAACTCAGCAAAGGTGAGATACATTCCTGCTTCATCACTTTCCCTTGGATCAACTATAACCTAAATAACTTAACCTCTCCTGGCCTTGGGGTAAAGAGGTAGACAGAGGGGGAGAGAGGCAGATGGAAGAATAAAGTTGCTGCATGAAGTTGCTACCTAAAGAGACTATTTTAAAGGCTGAGAATCCTTTAAAAGATATCAAATAGTTTAGAAAGATGCTTTGACTTGGGCTGTTAGAAAACTGCAGCTTCTAGTCAGAAAAGAATAAATGCAGTGATGTTTGGGATTTGGTTAAACATTTAAATTGCATTTCAAAATGTTGGATTTGGCAAAATTTAAAATAAATTTTGCCAAGTCCTTAAGTTTTTTACTTGCATGTATTCAAGGGAAAGCCAGCTTGTAGATTTGAATCATTTAGATTTAACTCATTAAAATGTATAGAGTGCTTTATCAAGCCACAAAAATTGTGCCCCAAATCATTTACAGTTTAACTTAGAAAAAAAAAAGTCTTATATAAACCACAGCTCTTGTACACTAAGTTGCTGAGACTTAGAAGAAAAGATTAACTCAGAAAGACCTCAAGAAAGAAAGAAATTTTGAAGAAGTAATGAAAGGAGTGGAATAGCACTGAATGCACAGGAAATGGAAAACCATTCCAAGGATGCAGACAGAAGTGATATTACATAATAGCTGACACAGACTATATGCAAATTTCAGTGATTGGATTTTGACTTAAAGATATTTTCCTGAAATGTCTGGAAGAACAATGGGACTTTGGGGGCATCCATAAAATTATAATCAAGATCTATTCAGCAGATGTTTACTGTGTGTCTCCACGTGCAAAGCTCTCTAACAAGCACTGAGAAACAATGCTGAATGGGACAGACATGTCCTTGCCTTTTGGAAGCTTACAGTCTATTGACAAAATAGACTTTTTTATGTGAAAACAGAAAATAATAAGGGCTAGGAAGTATCAAGATGTAGGAAGCAGTCGCATTATACACGGATTTTAAGGTGTAACATAAAAGAATCATACATTTTCAATTTCTTAGGGACTTTGAAGTTCATCAGTCCAGTTTTTCCAAGAGGAATCCAAGACAGCAATATGTAAACTGCTTCGATTGAGGTAGGGGGCAAAAGGAAAAGCAAAGCCAGACCTGGACACAGGTGTCCTAACTCTATATCAAACATCCATTCCTTCATTCAACTTTTACGTGATATTTACTATGATTAGGCACTGTGCTAAGTGCTGCAGAAAAGGTAAAAATTAAAAACACCTCTCCCTAACATGGTCCTGGAAGAGAGATAAGTATGAAAATAAACAATCCCCAAAAGATAAATGATGTAACAGAAAAATTGCACAAAGTTGTGCAGCACCCAAAAGCAAGACCCTCTCTGCTTAGGAAGACAATGGTGGCTTTACATCAGCCAAATCATATAAAATGAGTAGGATTTTCCCAGGAACATAAAAAGAAGAGAATTCAAGAAAGAAGAAAGAGGCCAGGCGCAGTGGCTCACGCCTGTAATCCTAGCACTTTGGGAGGCCGAGGCAGGCGTATCATTTGAGGTCAGGAGTTCAAAACCAGCCTGGCCAATATGGTGAAATCTCGTCTCTACTAAAAAATATATATACAAAAAAATTAGCCGGGAGTGGTGGCGTGCCTGTAGTCCCAGCTACTCGGGAGGCTGAGGCAGGAGAATTGCTTGAACCCGGGAGGCAGAGGTTGCAGTAAGCCAAGATCATGCCACTACATTCCAGACTGGGCGACAGAGTGACACTGCTTCTCACAAAAAAAAAAAAAGAGAGAGAGAGGAAAGAAACTGTGCAAAGAACACTGTATGTTTGGAAAAGTATAAGTATAAAAAGTATGAGTTCTTTTACTTCTGAGCTTTTTTTCTTAATTAGTTTTATCAAAGTAATACATGCACATAGTCAGATGGTGCAAAAAGACTCGAAACACAGCAGTCCTGTGGCCACCCTTCTGCTGGTTACACTACCATCAAGGTTCTCTCAGTCCCAGATGCAACCATGTTAAATTGGTTTAGCTGCTGCTTCTGGCATTTAGCGCCATGCTTCTAAATCACGTGTGTCTATACTGATATACTGGTATCCTACACAGTATAAGAACTTTCACCTCATACCCACTTCACCCCCCCACCCCAGTCCCCAATATGGTTGAAACATAATGTGGGGTGATATCCATAATTGTAGTTATAATGACTAAGTAAATATTGCTTGCTGATTAAGGTATTATACTCTGACTATATTTCCTCTCTGTGATACCTTTTCCTTTTTCTAATGTTGATTTGCATGTACTTGATTGTTCTCTTCTACTCTCTGGTTTAATCTTCCCCCACATTCCAATGGCTCTAAAGCCATTTCTAAATACCATTTTTCTTATAGTCAAACCTATCAGATAATCTATTTTTCCCCATGATTATGCCCCCTAGAAATCTGCCCCTGTACTCACCCCTTGGCCTGTCCTAGGAATTCCTTCTGTCTATGGTGTAAACCAAGAAATAGGAAGCCTCCAAATCTAGGAAACATAGGCTCTAACAATCTCACTTTGATAGAACCCACATTCTACTAGCTTCCTGAGAAAGAATGCATGAGAGGTAAATTTATTTTCATACATTTGTCAGTCATCCTTGACTGATATTTTAACAATGTAAACAATTCAAGGTTGAAAATTGCTTTCCTTCATAATTATTATCTTCTAGTTTCTAGCGTTGATTTGTGGGGCTTTTCGGCTTCTCAAAGTATGAGTTAGGATTGTGTTTAGTTGTAGGTAAAATAAAATCCAACAAGTTATAACTTAGCCAAATAGGGAACCTGACCAGGTGCTGACCACACCTGTAATCCCAACTCTTTGGGAGGCCAAGGTGAGTGGATCTGCTTTGAGCACAGGAGTTTGAGACCAGCCTGGGCAACATGGCGAAACCCCATCTCTACCAAAAATACAAAAATTAGCCAGACATTGGTGGCTTGCTCCTGTAGTCCCAGCTACATGGAAGGCTGAGGCTGGACAGTCATTTGAGCCCAGGAAGTGGAGGGTGCAATCAGATCACTCCACTGCACTCCAGCCTGGGTGACAGAGTGAGACCCTGTCTCAAAACAAACAAACAACAACAAACAAATAGACAACCTCCCACCCCCAATGTAACAAGAAATCCAGAGACAGGTAGTTGCTGAAATTGATTCAGCAGTTCAGGTATATCAGAGCTGAGAACTCTGTGATTCTCATGGTCGCAAAATACTGTAGCTCCAGACATCTTGTTCAGGTTTCAAATGAGAAAAAGTAGAAGAGAAAGGAGAAGATTCAACAGATTTCCACTTACATTTTATGGGCCAGCACTTTACCACACTTGGTCATATCTAACTACAAAGGAATTGAAAAAAGTAAGCTTTTAGCTTTCCGGCCTCTACAATGAAGAAAAGCAAGGGTTGAAAGAGACAAACTGGAATATGAGATAACATTACAATGTGCTTTGGTGTGCGTCTTTTCAAAAATCTTTTGTGCTGGGCACTCTTTGAGTCCTTCTAAGTTTGAAACACATATTTTCAGTCCTAGCAATTTTCCTTTTAAAATTTAGTTGATAGTTTTATCCTTTTTGTTTTTTCATTCTCTCTGGAGAGCTCCTAAAAGTCAAAGGTTGAACTTCTGATACTGATCATCTATCTTTTTTCTCCTATTTCCCATCTCATTATCTTTCACTTCTTTTTTATTTTAAGTTCCGGGATACATGTGCTGAATGTGCAGGTTTGTTACATTGGTATTATTTTTTACTTCTTTTTTAGGAGACTTCCTCATCTGCATTTAACCCTTTTATTGAATATTTTATTTCTTAAGTGCTTTCTTACTCTCTTATTCTTCCTTTTCTATAGTATTATGTTTTTATTTTATGGTTGCAAAATCTTCTCATCTTTCTGAGGGTACTGATTATAATTCCTTGAAGTTTTCTTCTTTTTCCTGACAGTCTTTCTTCTGAGCTTTATTTTGTTATTGTTATTGTTTATTTCTTTGTTAGTTTTGATCTCTTTTCCTGTTGGAGTTTCTCCTTAATTGACTGGTGATAATTGATTCTGTGTCATATCTAAGAATGAGGTACTAGAAGGGTGACTAGAAGCTGCGTGCATGTGGCCAAAGCTTAATGAGTAGTAAGCTTTACTAAAGGACAATCAGGAAGCCCGTTAGTTTCCTCATCAGGGAAGCCCACATGTCAGTA
The DNA here is from genome assembly GCF_000001405.40 of Homo sapiens. Taxonomy (NCBI): domain Eukaryota; kingdom Metazoa; phylum Chordata; class Mammalia; order Primates; family Hominidae; genus Homo; species Homo sapiens. Next base: position 99,879,170 of record NC_000012.12, read on the forward strand.
TCTACAGAGTTTTTCTCTGAAGCATGTTATCCCTTCAGAGAAGGATCACCTATCTGAAGAGGTGTTAAGAGAGAAAGGCAGTTATAAGCCTTGCTGCTACTGTTGTAGAACTCAGCACAGGAAGGCAGCTAGAAGTCTCACCATTATGCAGATCACTTAATTCCCCTCACTCCTATCCTCCCTACTTTGCAGTCTCTCAGGTTCAGTTCTTCACAGATTATACGTTTCATATGCAGCAGAGACAGGGAAGTGGCAGTTGTTAGTGCCTAGTAGGGATGACTGAAAAATATAATTAATTTTAAACAATTCTTTTGTTTGTATGCCACCCACATCATCTCTCCCTCACAATCACACTCCAACTTCCATAATACCTAATTTCTGATTCCTAAGCCTATCTCAGATTCTGCAGGATGAATCAGTTTGTTTATCATTGGTATATCCCTCTGCAGATAATTAGATTTTACATTCTTGCTGCTAAGTTATCTACAATTCTTCCATATGCTTTCAATTTTCCTATACTACAGATGAAGGTTAGAGAAATCTAGTTTTCCTAAAGATGGAAAGTACCTGTTGCTTTTGTTTGTTTGTTTGTTTTAAGTGATTTCTAGTAAAGAAGTACTTTTTCTGCCATTTTGAAACAGGTAAGTCTCTAATTATGAATTTAAAACTTGAAGACATTGATAGATATGAACAAAATATGCTCCAGAGCAAAACTCTACCCATTAACAACCAGATCATGCACGACCAGATTAGAATGGCCATTATATTGTTGGTTATCCCCATTCTGGTAATATGACGTAGCAGCTAAGAGCATGAGCTCTGAGGTCAGATTGCCTAGCCTTAAATCCTGTCTCTACCACTTTACAAGATGCATAATCTTGCACACATTCTGTTTATATTATCCTCTTGACCTGAAAAAATGTAGAGTGATGATGAGGATTAAGTGAACAAAATGCCTGGCACACAAGTATTCAATATATACAAACTACTATTATTAACTCCAACAGATCAAATTTTCCAAAGTAGTGAGAGTAATATGCACTAAGCGCCTTACAGATATTAACTTACTGAATCCTGAAAACAATACTATGAGGTAGGGATATCACCGTGCCAATTTTATAAAAGATAAAACTGATAGATGAACAGGTTAAATAACTTGCCCAAGGTCACACGGCCAAAAGTAGATAACAGGGATTCAATCTGAAGAAATCTGGTTCCATCGTCTTTGATCTTAACCACTTACAATACACAGCCCAAGGATAGCATCATTCAAATTTGAGTCCCCAGGTTCTCTCTAGCTCTCTTATGGAATGCCAAGTAAGTTATATTCGGTACCACAGACTAACTTAAAGGAAGATTTCAAAACGACACTGCAAAATTTGGACCAAATTATTTCTCCATTTAACTGCCTTCTATGTACAGGTAGTAGTATAGAATAGTTGTGTACATGTGATGCTCATTTCCATAATGAGTAAAGGACATAAAACATAAAAATATCATGCAGTTTTTAGGCCTATTGCTCCCAAATCATTCACTCTGATTATATCCTTTATTACAGGGAAATGTGTTTTCTAAGTCTATCTTCTTTGCATGGATTGAAAGATTTGTGAAACTGAAAACTAACCTTCCTCTGCCAAGAGCCCCATCAAGACAGAAGTTCTTAATTAACTAAGCAATTAGTCATAACAAGTGAAAGCTAAAATGGAGCATGAATACATAATTTGCTGATTATTTTTCTCCACTAGAACCCTTAGCCAGAATTTAACAAAAAGTGTTCTGTGGGTGCTAGTTTTGGGAAGGATGGTAAAACCTGGACAGAATGCACTGAACAGCTATTTGAGGGCTCCAAAGAGTAAAGAATTGCAGATGGATTGGAGAAGACCAGAATTCAAAGTATCAGCAGTGCGTTTCTTGTTTTTCCTTAGTATCCCCCAGTCTGGTGTCTACACCTGGTACACCAAAACCAGGAGTAGACACCAGCATACAAACAGAGAGATTTCCAGAGAAGTCCTCTAGCTCTGGCTCAACAGGTAGGAAAACAAAGAGATTTCTAACACTCAGAGAGAGTGGGGGAAATTCCAGGTTTTTCTCTTATATCATCATTATTACTTATGTTTTCTCTCTTTCATGCCTCAGTCTCCAGGCCATCCTGTGGCAGTGGCAGCAGCAACAATGGCAAGCAATGGAGTGATTCACAGGTGCCTGAAACTTGGATAGAAGTGTAGTCCACAAGAGAGAGGCAAACTCCTACTGCTTTTTCTCTCTATCTCTGTTTACCTACCTCTTGAACCTAAACATGGGTACAACTACAGGATGTGTGTGGCAGAGCAGGATAACTAAAACTCCAGTTTGTGGCCAAGGAACCAAAAAATACTGGGGATATTGCGGAGAAAGGGTTGGGATATGAGCCCGTCCTGAGCTGCACATACAGAGATATGATCTTGAACACCTAACAAAGACTTGAGAAATGAATTAAACTACTGACCACTACCCAGATCTCAGACTGGCTGCTTGGTTGCAAATATGTGGGACAGAGCAAAAGAGCATCACAGAGCGTTTGAAAACGAATTGACACTGAAACCACAAGCCACTGAAGGCTGATCAGACCTTACAACCTGAATTCTCTGGGTTGATTGCATGCTAAAATAAAAATATCAACATTCACCATAGGATGTAAATAAGACCCAGAGTCTCATAACATGATATTCAAAATGTTCAGAATATAATACAAAATTACTCAGCATTACAAAGAGCCAGAAAAATTTCAAATTACATAGAGGAAGAAATTTCACAGACATCAATGCCAAGATGATACATATGTTAGAATTACCTGACAAAGATGTCAAAGCAGCTATTAAAAACACTCTTGAAATAAATAGAAAGTTTCAGCAAGGAAATAGAAGACGTGAAGAAGAACCAAATGGAAAATTTAGAACTGAAAAATGCAATAGCAAAACTTTGAAAACTCACTGAATGAGTTCTGTAACAGAATAAAAATGACAAAGTATCAATAAACTTGAAAGCAGATCAGTATAAATTATCCAATCTAAACAACATAGAGAAAAATACTTTAAAAAATAAATAAGAGCCTCAGGACCTGTAGGACAATATCACAATGCCTAATATGTATATCATCCCAGTCCCAGAAGGAGAGAAGAGAGAGTATAGTACAAAGAAAAACAATGTAATTGCTAAAAACTGACCAAATTTGCCAAATGACATAAACCCAGAAATTCAAAAAGTTCAGTGAACTCCAAAAAGAATAAACCCCAAAATACCCATACCTAGACATATGATAATCAAACTTCTAAAAATTACAGAAAATAATGTTGGAAAGTAACCAAAGAAAAATGATGCATTACTTACAGGGAAGCAATGATTTCAAAGTCTGAGGATCCCTCATCAGAAGTGGGAGCTAAGCTATGAGGAAACAAAGGCATAAGAGTGATATAATGGACTATAGAGACTTGCGGGAAAGGGTGGGGAAGGGGGTGAAGGATAAAAGACAACACAATGGGTGCAGTGTACACTGCTTGGGTGATGGGTGCACTAAAATCTCAGAAATCACCACCTAAAGAACTTATCCATGTAATCAAACACCACCTGTTCCCCCAAAACTACTGAAATCATAAGAAGAAAAATAATTTTTTTTAAAAAAGAAGTCATGGAGGCCAGAAGAAAGTGCACTCATTTTTAAAGCACTGAGAAAAAGGAACCATGAAACCAGAATTCTGTATCTAGCAAAAATACTCTTCAGGACTAACAATGAGATAAAGACATTCTTACATGAAGAAACACTAAGAGAATTTTCATTAGCAACAGACTTCTCTACAAGAATGACTAAAAGAAAGTTCTTCAGCCAGAAGATAATGATGCCATATGCAAATGTGGAACATCAGAAAGGAAGAGAGAACAACAGGAATGGTAAATTTCTGGGTAAATATAATAGACTATTCTTTCACCCTGAGTCATTTAGAGTATGTTTAACAGTTAAGAGCAAAAAACAGAGCATTGTCTGATGAGATTTTCAATGTGCAAACAGAGTCCAAAACTAGGCCTACAAAAGTATGATCAATGGGTTTTTGACGAAGGTACAAAGGCAATTCAATGGAGATATGATAGTTTTTTCCATAAGAGGTGTTGGAACAAATGGACGTTTCGAAGCAAAAAAACAAACAAACAAAAAAAGAACCTCACGCATTATACAGAACTTATCTTAAAAGAGAACATAGACATAAACATAAAACATAAAACTAATTTAAAACATCAAATATAGTTTTTTGAGTAATAATTGGAAAAAATCTTAGTAACATTAGTTTAGGAAATGATACACCAAAAGCATGATTCATAAAAAAAATTTTGATAAATTGGACATCATCAAAATAAAACTCTTGCTCTGCCAAAGACCCTGTAAAGACCATGAAAAGACAAGGCATAGACTTGGGGCAGGGGGGAATCTGCAAATCGGCCGGGCACAGTGGCTCACGCCTGTAATCCCAGCACTTTGGGAGGCCAAGGCGGGTGGATCACGAGGTCAGGAGTTCAAGACCAGCCTGGCCAACATGGTGAAACCTCGTCTCTATTAAAACTACAAAAATTAGCCAGGCGCATTGGCAGGCACCTGTAATCCCAGCTACTTGGGAGGCTGAGGCAGAAGAATCACTTGAACCTGGGTGGCAGAGGTTGTAGTGAGCTGACATCGTGCCACTGCACTCCAGCCTGGGTGACAGAGTGAGACTCTGTCTCAAAAAATCTGCAAATCATATATCAAACAAAAGATTTGTATCTGACTATATGAAAACTCCCCAAACTTAAGAAAACAAACAACTCATTAAAAAAAATAAATACATGATTTGAAAGAAAACTTCACCAAAGAAGATACATAGATACTAGGTTGGTGCAAAAGTAATTGCGGTTTTTGTGATTACTCTTAATGCTGAAAACCACAATTACTTTTGCAACAACTTAATAGTAAATAAGTACATGAAAAGATGCTCACTGTCATTAGTCATTAGAAAATGTAAATAAAAATCCACAAGAACATGCTACTACACACCTATTAGAATGGGGGAAAAACAGACAACTGCAGGTATTAGCAAGTATGCAGAGCCATTGGAACTCTGAAACATTGCTGATGGGAATGTAATATTACAGCCACTTTGGAAAAGTTTGGCAGTTTCTGACAAAGGTAAACATTCATT